>NC_000001.11:50917471-51068986 GCF_000001405.40 Homo sapiens
AATGCCAGATTTTTTGCCAAGCAACATTTGCTAAATTCAATGTATTAATGTATTCATTGAGTCAGATAACTAAAAAGCTTAATTTAGTTAGAAGCCAAGGAAAGGAAAAAGGAAAGGAAAAGAAAGGAAAAAGGAAAGGAAAAGGGAAAGGAAAAAGGAAAGGAAAGGAAAGGAAAGGAAAGGAAAGGAAAGGAAAGGAAAGGAAAGGAAAGGAAAGGAAAGGAAAGGAAAAGAAAGAAAACCAACATAGTTTTTGGCAGTTTTACAAAACAAAATTACACATCAGGACCAGCCAGGGTTAAGACCTCAGACTAAACACCAGAATCTAAGGTGAAATAAAAAGGTAAGTCACACACTGGGAGAAAATGTTCGCAATACATTTATCTGATGAACCTCAGAGGCATTAAGCTGAGAGAAAAAAGCCATACTCAAAACAGTGCATGCTGTATGACTTCATTTACATGAAGTCCAATAACAGGCAAACGTAATCTACAATAATAGAAATCAGACCTATGGTTTCACACAGGACATTAAGAATGATTGAGACTATGAAGAAACCTTTCTGGCCTCAAGTGATCTGCCCACCTCAGCCTCCCAAAGTGCTAGGATTACAGGAGTGGGCCACCACACCCTGCCTATATAATTATTAAAACTCATCAAATTGTCCACTTACAAAGAGTACATTTCACTGAATGTAAATTTCTTTTTTTTTTTTTTTAATTTTTTTTTTTTAATTATACTCTAAGTTTTAGGGTACATGTGCACATTGTGCAGGTTAGTTACATATGTATACATGTGCCATGCTGGTGTGCTGCACCCACTAACGTGTCATCTAGCATTAGGTATATCTCCCAATGCTATCCCTCCCCCCTCCCCCGACCCCACCACAGTCCCCAGAGTGTGATATTCCCCTTCCTGTGTCCATGTGATCTCATTGTTCAATTCCCACCTATGAGTGAGAATATGCGGTGTTTGGTTTTTTGTTCTTGCGATAGTTTACTGAGAATGATGGTTTCCAATTTCATCCATGTCCCTACAAAGGACATGAACTCATCATTTTTTATGGCTGCATAGTATTCCATGGTGTATATGTGCCACATTTTCTTAATCCAGTCTATCATTGTTGGACATTTGGGTTGGTTCCAAGTCTTTGCTATTGTGAATAGTGCCGCAATAAACATACGTGTGCATGTGTCTTTATAGCAGCATGATTTATAGTCCTTTGGGTATATACCCAGTAATGGGATGGCTGGGTCAAATGGTATTTCTAGTTCTAGATCCCTGAGGAATCGCCACACTGACTTCCACAATGGTTGAACTAGTTTACAGTCCCACCAACAGTGTAAAAGTGTTCCTATTTCTCCACATCCTCTCCAGCACCTGTTGTTTCCTGACTTTTTAATGATTGCCATTCTAACTGGTGTGAGATGATATCTCATAGTGGTTTTGATTTGCATTTCTCTGATGGCCAGTGATGATGAGCATTTCTTCATGTCACTGAATGTAAATTTCACATAAACCAAAACTTTTTAATTATAAGGAACAAAATAAATGAACTTTTACTCATCAATAAAGGCAGAATAAAAAAATTATGAAGTGTCAGGAATGTTATTTCCTTAATAATTTTGTTTTATACTCTTTAACAAAATGTTTTTAAATACCCAACAGATAGGTTTACCACTAATTCTAACTCCTAAATGAAAAACATGCAAATA
Organism: Homo sapiens; assembly: GCF_000001405.40. Taxonomy (NCBI): domain Eukaryota; kingdom Metazoa; phylum Chordata; class Mammalia; order Primates; family Hominidae; genus Homo; species Homo sapiens. The sequence goes on from NC_000001.11 coordinate 50,919,187, forward strand.
ATGAAAAATCAAAACAAATAAATTTCCAGATAAACAAAAGCTGAGAGAATTTCTCACCAACAGATCTGCATATAAAAAACAGTAACGGTTTTCATGCTGGAGGGAAATGATACTAGATGGAACTGCTAATCTACACAAAGAGCATCAGAAATAGTAAATGTAAGACTTTTTTTATTATTTCTTATATTCTTTAAAAAACAATTCTAAGCAAAAATCACAGAATGAATTATAAGCTATATAACACGTATAAGTAAAATACATGAAAAGAATAAAATAAAGGCTGCCGGGGGGTAAATAGAAGAATTTTTTTTTTTTTTTTGAGACAGAGTCTCGCTCTGTTGTCCAGGCTGGAGTGCAGTGGCACGGTCTCGGCTCACTGCAACCTCCGCCTCCCGGGTTCAAGCGATTCTCCTGCCTCAGCCTCCCGAGTAGCTGGGATTACAAGCACCTGACACCACGTCTGGCTAATTTTTTTTATTTTTAGTAGAGACAGGGTTTCACCATGTTGGCCAGGATGGTCTCGAACTCCTGACCTCGTGATCCACCAGCCTTGGCCTTTTACAGGCGTGAGCCACCGCACCCAGCCGAAGAATATTCTTATAAAGTTCTTATACATGAAGTAGTATAAAGCAATTAAGAGGAACTGTGATAAGTAAACCATGTATGTTGTAATCTCTAGAACAAGGGTGGGAAAAAAGAAATGTAAGAAGTATAGCAAAGATGAGATCTGCTGGTTTCATACTGTATCAACTCACCTAAACTGAAACTAAATTCCTGAAAATTCCTTCCCTGAGTGGTCTGAGGTCAGGAATGGCCATAACAAAACATGTGCAGGCCAGGCAGTGGCTCACACCTGTAATCCCAACACTTTGGGAGGCTGAGTCAGGTGGACTACCTGAGGTCAGGAGTTCGGGACCAGCCCAGCCAACATGGTGAAACCCTGTCTCTACTAAAAATACAAAAAGTTAGCTGGGTGTGGTGGCACTCGCCTGTAGTCCCAGCTACTCGGGAGGCTGAGGCAGGAGAATCGCTTGAGCCTGGGGGGCAGAGGGTTGCAGTGAGCCAAGATCGCGCCACCACACTCCAGCCTGGGTGAAAGAGCAAGACTCTGTCTCAAAAAAAAAAAAAAAAGTAAAGAAAGAAAATATGCTTTGGAAGGTGGAAGAAAAACAGCAGGCATTACTGCTCCCAAAAAGTGTAGGTACAGCCCCAAGTACTACTGCAGATGACAGACATTGTCCCTGATTGCCTGGCTCATGTCACTGATACGTGGCAGATGCACCCAAGATTCCTCTAAATCCAGGCCAATTTTCCTCATGAACATAGATGCAAAAATCCTTAACAAAATATTAGCAAATCAAATCCAGGATTATGTAAAAAGGATAACAAATCATGACCAACTGAGGTTGCTCCCAGCAATGCAAGGTTGGTTTAACATTCAGAAATCAGTATAATTTACCATATTAACAGAACAAAGGAGAAAATCTATATCACCATCTCACTAGAATATTCAAAAAAATTAATAAACATTCATAATAAAAACTCTTAGCAAACTAAGAATAGAAAGCAATTTCCTTTATCAGCAGAAGGACATCTATGAAAAACCTATAGCTAACACCATACTTAATAGTGAAAGACTGAATATTTATCCCTAAGATTAGGAAAAAGGTAAGAATGTAAAGAATGTTTGCTGTCACCACTTCTATTCAACCTCTATTGTACTAGAGGTCCTATCACAGGCAATAAAGTAAGAAAAAGAAAGAAAAAGTCATAAAAATTGGAAAGAATTATAGCTATCTTTTATCACAGACAAATGATTATATATAGAAAACCCTGCATTCTTTACATTAAAAACCTCTAGAAGAAATAAGTAAATGTATACAGTAACAAAATACATCTATGACAAAAGCCCACTGTGTCCCCCAAAAAATCAAACATACAATTACCATATGAGGTACACACTGTCCAGGGGCCTTAGGTTGGCCCACCCTGCCCACAACCGCCAGAGCCTGGGTGAGCCATCACAGGGCCTAGGGACCGACCTGCCCCACCTGCAGTAGCCAACACCCCCAGATGCCATCCTAGAGCCTGTGGGCTGGCCTGCCCAACTCTGCAACGCACTATCAGTGGCTGCGTGCACCATCCAAGAGCCTGAGAATCAGCTTGACACCTCCTGCCTGTCACCACTGAGGGAATTCTTAACAACAAGACCAGCTCTACAAGAAATGTTTAAGGAGGTCCTACATCTGGAAGTGAAAGAATAAAATCTATCGTCATGAAAACACATTAAAGTGGCCAGGCATGGTGGCTCGCGCCTGTAATCCCAGCACTTTGTGAAGTCAACAAGCGCAGATCATTTGAGCCCAGGAGTTCGAGACCAGCCTGGGTAACATGGTGAAATCCTGTCTCTACTAAAAATACAACAGTTAGGAATGGTGGTGCCTAGCTACTAGGGAGGCTGAGTACATGGAGTAGTCCTAGCTACTAGGGAGGCTGACGTGGGAGGATCACCTGAGCCAGGAGGCAGAGGCATGCAGTAAGCCAAGATCACACCACTGCACTCCAGCCTGGGAAATAGAGCAAAGACCTTGTTTCAAAAAAAAAAAATTTAAAGTATAAAATTCATTGGTAGAGAGCAGACACACAAATGAGAAAGAGAAGAGGACTCAAATGTAACCACTACAGAAAACTACCAAATGGCCAGACGTGATGGCTCACACCTGTAATCCCAGCACTTTGGGAGGCCAAGGCAGGTGGATCACCTGAGGCCAGGAGTTCAAGACCAGCCCGGCTAACATGGTGAAACCCCGTCTCCACTAAAAACACAAAATTAGCCGGGCATGGTGGCGTGCACCTGTAATCCCAGCTACTTGGAAGGTTGAGGCAGGAGAATTGCTTAGAACCCGGGAGGCAGAGGTTGCAGTGAGCTGAGATCACATCATTGCACTCCAACCTGGGTAACAGAGAGAGACTCCGTCTCAAAAAAAAAAGGCCAGGCGCAGTGGCTCACACCTGTAATCCCCACACTTTGGGAGGCCAAGGCAGGCAGATCACCTGAGGTCAAGGAGTTCGAGACCAGCATGACCAACTGGCAAAACCCTGTCTAAACTAAAAATACAAAAATTAGCTGAGCGTGGTGGCAGGCACCTGTAATCCCAGCTACTAGGGAGGCTGAGGCAGGAGAATCGCTTGAACCTGAGAAACGGAGGTTGTAGTGAACCAAGATCGCGCCATTGCACTCCAGCCTGGGTGACAGAGTAAGACTCTGCCTCAAAAAAAAAAAAAAAAAAAAAAAAGAAAAGAGAGAGAGAAGAGAAGAGAAGAGAAGAAAAGAAAACCACCAAACTAAGCTAGGCCGCAGTGGCTCATGCCTGTAATCCCAGCACTTTTGGGAAGCCGAGGAGGGTGGATCACCTGAGGTCAGGAGTTTGAGACCAGCCTGACCAACATGGTGAAACCCCATCTCTACTAAAAATACAAAATTATCCGGGTGTGTTGGTGCATACCTATAATCCCAGCTACTTGTGGGGGCTGAGGCAGGAGAATCACTTGAACCCAGGAGATGGAGGTTGCAGTGAGCCAAGATCACGCCATTGCACTCCAGCCCAGGCAACAGTGCGAGAATCCACCACAAAAAAAAAAAAAAAAAAAAAGGCAAAAGATCAAAAAAGTTGGTTTTTTGAAAAGATAAAAAAGATCAATAAACTGCTCATGAGACTAACAAAAGAAATTCAGAAATGAAAATGAAGTCATCATAACTGATACCAAAGAAACACAAAAGATCATTGCAGGATATTATGAACAGCTATATACCAACAAATTGGAAAACCTAGAGTAAATGGATAAATTTCTAGATACAGATAACTACCAAGATTGAACAATGAAGAAATAGAAAACCTGAACAGAGCCATAATGAGCAACAAGATTGAATCAGTAATAAAGTCTCCTAAGGCTAAGTGCAATAACGCACACCTATAATCTCAATGCTTTGAGAGGCTGAGGTGGAAGGATTGCTTAAGCCCAGGAGTTCATGACCGGCCTGGGCAATATAGAAAAACCCATCACTACAAAAAATATTCCAAAAAAATTTAGCCAGGCAAAGGGGTGCAAAACCTGTAGTCCTAGCCTGAGGCAGGAGAATCCCTTGACTCTAGGAGTTTGAGGCTGCAGTAAGCTATGATCATACCACTGCATTCCAGCCTGGGTGACAGGGTAAGACCTTGTGTCTTTAAACAAAAAAACAAAAAACAAACAAAAACTTCCAAAAAAGAGAAGCCCAGGACCAGATGGCTTCACTGCTGAATTCTACAAAACTCTTGAAAAAAACTAGCACCAACTCTTCTCAAATATTCAAAAAATTAAAAAGAAGGGAATTCTTCCTCATTCCTTCTATGAGACAGCATTACCCTGATATCAAAACCAGGCAAGAACACAACAAAAAAAGAAAACTACAGGTCAATATCCCTGATGAACATAGATTCGATAGAATCCTCAACAAAATACCAGCAAACTGAAATCAATGGCACATTAAAAAGATCACTCACCATAAGTGGGATTTATGCCAGGAATGCAAAGATGGCTCAACATGCACAAATCAATAAATACAGTACATCAAAATAACAGAATCAAGAACCAGAATCATATTTTCATTTAAATAGACATTGAAACAGCATTCAATAAAATTCAACATCCATTTCTGATAAAAACTCCCAACTGAGTATAGAAGAAACATAACTCAATGTAATAAACCCATATATGACATACCCACAGCTAGCATCATACTGAATGGGGAGAAACTGAAACACTTTAATATCTGGAACATGACGAACATGCCCACTTTCACCACTGTTATTCAACATAGTACTAGAAGTCTTAGCTATAGCAACCAGACAAGAGGAAGAAGTAAAAGGTATCCAAATTGCAAAGGAAGAGGTCAAATCATTCTTGTTTGCAGACGACATGATCTTACATATAGAAAACCTAACACTTCACCAAAAAACTCAGAACTGATAATGATAAACAAACTCAGTGAAGTTGCAAGACACAAAATAAACAAAAATCGGCAGTACTTCTACACACCAAAAAGGAACAATTTGAAAAAAAAAAAACAAGAAACCAATCCCATTTACAATAGCTATCAAAAACAACAACAACCTAGGAATCAATTTAATCAAGAAGGTAAAAGACCTCTGCAATGAAAATTACAAAACACTAATAAAAGAGATTGAAGAGAACACAAACAAAGGCATCCCATACTCATTGATTAGAAGAATTAATATTGTTAAAATGACCATACTACCCAAAGCAATCTACAGGTACAGCATCATCTCTATAAAATACCAAGGACATTCTTTACAGAAATAGAAAAAGCAATCCTTAAGTTCATATAGAAGCACAATAGACCCTGAATAGCCAAAGCAATAATCAGAAAAAAAGAACAAAGCTGACTTCAAAATATACAGCAGAGCTATAGTAACCAAAACAGCATAGTATTGGTATAATAAAAGATACATAGGCTAGGCACAGTGGCTCACGCCTGTAAACCCAGCACTTTGGGAGGCTGAGGTGGGTGGATCACCTGAGTTCAAGAGTTCAAGACCAGCCTGGCCAACATGATGAAACCCTGTCTCTCCAAAAAATACAAAAATTAGCTGGGTGTGGTGTTGGGCACCTGTAATCTCAGCTACTCGGAAGGCTAAGGCAGGTGAATTACTTGAACCCAGGAGGCGGAGGCTGCAGTGAGCTGAGATCGTGCCATTGCACTCCAGCCTGGGTGACAAGAATGAAACTCCATCTCAAAAAACATAACAAAACAAAACAGATACATAGACCAACAGAACAGAGAACCTTGAAATTAAAAATATTAATAAATCCACATATTTTTAGCCAACTGATACTCAGCAAAAGTGCTAAGAATACACATTGGGAAAACAACAGTCTCTTCAATAAATGGTGCTAAGAAAAATGGATAGTCATATGCAGAGGAATGAAACTAGACCCCTATCTATCACTACATACAAAAATTAACTCAAAATGGATTAAAGACTTAAATGTAAGACTCAAAACTATAAAACTGCTGGGTGGAATCACGTCAGGACAAAAACACAGACAACAAGAATAGACAAATGGGACTGTACTAAACTAAAAGGCTTCTCCACGGTAAAAGAAACAATCAACACAGTTAAGAGATAACCTGTAGATAGGAAAATACTTACAAATCGTTTGACTAACAAAGAACTAACAACCAGAATATACAAGGAATTCAAACTTAGCACCAAAAAAAAAAAAATCCCACTACTACAAAGTGGGTCAAAGATCTGAACAGACATTTCTCAAACGAAGACATAGAAATGGCCAACAAATATTATCTCACCCCGCTCAGAATGGCTATTATCAAAGACAAAAAATTACAAATGCTGGCAAGGATGCAGAGAAAAGGGAACTCATACACTGTTGGTGGGAATATAAATTAGTATAGTCACTATAAAAAACAGTGTTGCACTTTCTCAAAAAACTAAAAATAGAACTACTATATGATACAGCAATCACACTACTGGGTATTTATCCAAAGGAAAGGAAATCAACATCAAAAGGATACCTATACATCCATGTTTATTGCAGCACTATTCATAATAGCCCAGATATGGAGTCAGCCTAAATGTCCATCAACAGGCAAATGGATAAAGAAAAATGTGGTTTATATACACAATAGAATACTATTCCTCCATGAAAAAGAATGGAATTGGGCCAGATGTAGTGTGCCTCATGCACGTAATCCCAGTGATTTGGGAGGCTGAGGCAGGAGGGTCGCTTAAGGCCAGGAGTTGAAGACCAGGCTGGGTAACATAGCAATACCCCATCTCTATAAAAAGTAAAACAAGTTAGCCAGATGTGGTGATACATGCTTGTAATCCCAGTTACTCGGGAGACTGAGGGGGGAGGATCGCTTAAGCCCCAGAGTTTAACATTACTGAAGCATATGATCACACTACTGCACTCCAGCCTGGGCAACAGAAAGATCCTGTCTCTAAACATAAAAAACAAACAAACAAACAAAACTACAAAGAAAAATAATGAAATCCTATCACTTGCAGCAACATGGATAAGCCTGGAGGATACTATGTTAAACTAAATAAGGCACAGAAAGATAAATACATGCTCTCAGTCATATGTAGGAGCTAAAAAGAATTCTGAGCTCATGGAATTAGAGTATACAACTGTAGATATTGGAGACTGGGAAGGGCAGTGAGAGGGAGAATGGGGAGAACCTGGTTAACATATAAAATTACAGCTAGATAGGAGGAATGAGTTCTGGTGTTCTACAGCGCTGTGGGGTGACATGGTTAACTATAATTTATTGTATATTTTCAAAAAGATAAAAAAGCAGACTTTAAATGTTCTCAACAAAAAAAAAAAGTTTAAGGTGAAGGATATGCTAATTACTCTGATTTGATCACTACACATTGCATATTCTTATGAAAACATCAGTTGTATCCCATAAGTATACACAATTATTACATGTAAACTAAAAATACAAGGGAAAAAATTACCGTATGATCCAGTAACTGCACTTGTGGTTATGTACCCAAAAGACTTTTAAGGAAGCAAGGAGTCAAGACATATTTATCCACCCATGTTCATAGTACCATTGTTGACAATATCCAAAATGTATAAACAACTCAAATGTCCATCCATAAATAAAGAACATGTAGTATGTTCACACAACAGAGTATTGTTGCTCCTTAAAAAGGCAAGAAATTCTGACACATGCTATAAAACGGATGTAACTTAAAAATACTATGTTAAGTGAAACAAGCCAGACATAAAAGAACAAACACTAAATAATTCCACGTCTATAAGTACTCAAACTCACAGAAGCAGAAAGGGGAATGGGGAGTTAATGTTTAGAAGCAGAAAGGGGAATAGGGAGTTAACGTTTAATCAATAGAGTTTGGGAAGATGAAAACGTTCTAGAGATGAGTGGTGGTGATGCCACATAACAATGTGAGGGTACTTAATACCACTGAACTGTATGTTTAAAATGGCAAAAAGGGTAAATTTTATGTTATGTATATTTTACCAGAATTTTTTTTTTAAAGCTTACTGCATGGGGACCAAGCGTGGTGGCTCACACCTGTAATCCCAGCACTTTGGGAGGCCGAGGCGGGTGGGTCACTTGAGGTCAGGAGTTCGAGACCAGCCTAGCCAACATGTTGAAACCCCGTTTCTACTAAAATGACAAAAAATGAGCCGGGCATGGTGGCATGTGCCTGTAGTCCCAGCTACTTGGGAGGCTGAGGTTGCAGTGAGCCAAGATGGCACTCTGCCTGGGCGGCAGAGTGAGACCCTGTCTCCAAAAAAAATAAAAGCTTACTGTGTGGTTTCATATACATAAAGTTTTAAAACTGGCAAAACTAACATATGTGTAATGTCAGAAGTCAATGTACTAAGTTATGCTGAAAGGTGAGGGGTAATTGAATGGAAGAAGGAGGCTTCTGGAACTCTGATTATATTCTTCTTTTTCATTTGTTTAAACAAATTTTTTTTCTTACAATTCTGAGACTAGAAATCCAATATCAAGGTGTCAGCAGTTTGCGTGTCTTCTGGGGCCTCTCTTCTTGGCTTGTTGATGGCTGTCTCCTCCCTGTGTTCACATTGTTCTTCCTTGTGTCTCTATGTGCCCTAATCTCCTCTTTTTCTTTTTTCTACTCGTTACATATTCTGTTCTTTTAACCAAAGAGTTGTTTATATGGATGTGTTCATGTTGTGCAAATTCAAACTATACTGTTAGGATTTGTGTTCTTTGCTGAGTATTATGCCCTCATAAAGTTTAGAATTTTCATTTGCTTCAGTTAATGACAGACTGTGATTTTGCTGAGGTGAGGATCTGGATGATGTTCACAGCCAGACTGGTTTTCAGGAACAAGTCACCTGCCTAGTAAGTGAGCCCTGCTTGAGTCCAACATCCATGCTATGGTGCACTTTTACTGCATGCTCTCTGTCTTTGGCACACAGACGACAATTTTTCTGAAATGGCAAAAATATTGGTTCTATTTCAAAAGTGGCCTCAAAATGAAAGTCAACTTCTACTATAAATAATAGAATGGAAAAGTCTAAGAAAGTAATATGAAAGTCTCTTGAGTATATGGAGAAAAGAACGTCAAGAATCTATACCTTTGTTTAAAAGATTTATTCTACATGTCAAAGCATTTCCAAAGCCCAGCTGCTTTTAGTCTCAGCGGCATTAATTCTTTAGAATAAAAATATCACACTTAAAAGAAAATAGGTGTTCTGTATTTAAAAACTGAGGAAGGCGGCCAGGCGCAGTGGCTCATGCCTGTAATCCCAGCACTTTGGGAGATCAAGGTGGGCGGATCACAAGGTCAAGAGTTCGAGACCAGCCTGGCCAACATAGTGAAACCCCATCTCTACTAAAAATACAAAGTATCAGCCGAGCATGATGGCGGGCGCCTGTAATCCCAACTACTCGAGAGGCTGAGGCAAGAGAATCGCTTGAACCTGGGAGGTGGAGGTTGCACTGAACCGAAATCACGCCATTGGACTCCAGCCCAGGCAACAGTGCGAGACTCCACCTCAAAAAAAAAAAAAAAAAAAACTAGGGAAGGCTGGCCAGGCACAGTGGCGCATGCCTGTAATCCCAGCACTTTGGGAGGCTAAGCTGAGCTCAGGGGATCGAGACCAGCCTGGCCAACACGGTGAAACCCCATCTCTATTAAACATCCAAAGAAATACCCAGGCATGGTGGCGTGCATCTGTGGTGCCAGCTGCATGGGAGGATTGCTTGAGCTCAGGAGGCACAGGTTGCAGTGAGCCAAGATCATACCACTGTACCCCAGCCTGGGTGACATAGCAAGACACTGTCTCAAAAAAAAAAAAAAAAAAGAAAGAAAAGAAAAAAAAACTGGGAAGGCTAGCAAAATGATTCTTTTTTTAATCAAAATAAAAAATGTTTTGAATTATTAGGAAATGATGTGTTTAATAATACTCTCAAAGTATATCCCACAATATTTAATAGAGTTTTATTAACAGAATTAAAACAGAAAGTTCTTTCATCATTCATACAATTTATACATAGGAAAGCAGAAGGAGTGGGCTCCCAAAACAGTGCTATTTAAGTTCTACATTGAGTACTAGTATATAAATTTTATCCTGGATAGTTTTAAAAAATGATACTTGAGCAAGAATTAATGCATGTTTTATGAATATATGTGAACTAAAAGATCTTTGGTTGATAAAATTGTATTCAGATCCCTTCAAAAAAATAAAAATTTCCCTAAATTTTACACACTGTTTATATTATATCTTTTGGTAACAAAAACTAGAGAATAGATTCATTGTAAGAGCTTACATTATCTTTTCTATCCACAAGAGGGAGCAAACATTTAACACATCTTGGGAATTTCATTACATGCTAGTTTTCACACAAGACTTTCAGGAAATAATAAAACTGCCAAAAATATTCATTGAATGTCTATCATGTGCCAGGCATAGTGTTAGGGTCTGGAAATATAGTGGGAAAAAGATGTGGCTCCTGCCCCCACGATTCACAATTATTCAGGTAACAAAGTACATCTAAAGATTTATAAGATTATTTAAAGGAACACAAACCATACTTAGCTTTTTTATAATTATTATAAGCTATAACTTATAAGTATTCTGTCTTACCAGAAGCTACAAATATAATGTAACGCTATACAAATTGTCAGTAATTTACAGTCTACAACTCTTAAAAAGCAAATAACATATATTAGGCAATTTATCGCATAAAGAATTAAGCACCAAGATGCAAATACCTTCTTTTTTCCAAGTAGACTCCAATGATCTATGCCACTCATTTTTTTCATTTAGCTTAACCAAAATGTTAGCAAATTAACATTTATTTAGGGTAATCTGGGGGTGTAGTTAACAAAGCATTTCAAGAGAGGGATATCTTTGAAATGTACTGATAAGTAGTAAAATCATAATGCCAAAGTGGGAAATTCTCAATTACAGCCTGTTAATGACATTTTAATACATCTTGGTTCTTTTGTTTTAAAGAAGAATGGATTCCAAAAGGGCATAATGAGCTAAGCAGGTGACCTCAGGAGAGTTCTTCCAAGTAGGTGTGTTTATACAGCAGCAAAGTTTAGGGTACAGTACTATTCAGGAAGGTATATTGGCAGGAAACAATGTGTAGTGGAAAAAAAGCTCTGACTCAAAGCACAACTAGCTTCAAATGCAGTTTTACCATTTAACTAGCCCTGTGACTTTAGTTATTAACCTCTCTGAGTCTCAGTGTTCTCACTCATACAATGGTAATAACAACAATCTTGCAAAGCTGCTGTAAGGATTAATAATAATGCAGGTGGCCAGGCACAGTGGCTCAAGCCTGTAATCCCAGCACTTTGGGAGGCCAAGGCGGGTGGATCACGAGGTCAGGAGATCGAGACCATCCTGGCTAACACAGTGAAACCCCGTCTCTACTAAAAATACAAAAAATTAGCCAGGCATGGTGGCGGGTGCCTGTAGTCCCAGCTACTCGGGAGGTGGAGCTTGCAATGAGCCGAGATCGTGCCACTGCACTCCAGCCTGGGAGACAGCAAGACTCCGTCTCAAAAAAGAAAAAAAAGTAGGTAAAGCACCAAATAGCCCAATTTTACAATAAGAAAACTAAAGAAGGCAATATAACTTAACTAGGGTTAGAAAGCAGAAAAACTGTGTGCCAGAACTTCTTTATTTTTAGTAATACTCCTTAACTTGAAGTCTTAGTCTAACATTATTAATTAATTACAGCAGATTTGTTATGATTAGTGTCTACATGATATATTGTTTGTCCATCCTTTTATTTACAACCTAGAGAAGCATCTTTATATTCCAGATGCTTCTCTTATACGAAATATAGATCAATATTTAATTTTCATCCAACCTGATGGTCTCTACCTTTTGATTACTATTTACCCTATTTACATTTAATGTAATTACTGATATGGCAGTAGTTTACTGTAAGTTTACTATCTTGGTTCTCAGTTTACTATCTTGGTTCTTTTATTTTGTTTTCAATCTGTTCCAATTGTTTTTCTTATTGTTATAGTTTCTTATCTGCATTGTTTATACTTTCTTATTGTTATACTTTCTTATCTGCATTCTTTAGGGTTGAGCATATGTATTAGTTTGTTTTCACGCTGCTGATAAAGACACACCCAAAACTGGAAACAAAAAGAGGTTTAATTGGACTTACAGTTCCACATAGCTGGGGAAGCCTCAGAATCATGACAGGAGGTGAAAGGCACTTCTTACATGGTGGCAGTGAGAGAAAAATGAGGAAGAAGCAAAAGCAGAAATCCCTGATAAACCTATCAGATCTCAAGAGACTTATTCACTATCACAAGAATAGCACGTGGGTGGGCGCAGTGACTCACACCTGTAATCCCAGCACTTTAGGAGGCTGAGGCGGGTGGATCACGAGATCAGCAGGTTGAGACCATCCTAGCTAACACAGTGAAACCCCATCTCTACTAAAAATACAACAACAACAAAAAAATTAGCCAGGCATAGAGGCAGGCGCCTGTAGTCCCAGCTACTCAGGAGGCTGAAGCAGAATGGCGTGAACCAGGGAGGCAGAGCTTGAAGTAAGCCGAGATCGTGCCACTGCACTCCAGCCTGGGTGACAGAGCAAGACTCTGTCTCAAAAATAAATAAATAAATAATAATAATAATAATAATAATAATAATAATAATAATAGCACATGAAAGACTGACTCCCATGATTCAATTACCTCCCCCCAGGTCCCTCCCACAACATGTGGCAATTCTGGGAATAATAATAATAATAATAGCACATGAAAGACTGACTCCCATGATTCAATTACCTCCCCCCGGGTCCCTCCCACAACATGTGGCAATTCTGGGAGACGAAAATTCAAGTTGAGATTTGGATGGGGACACAGCCAACCATATCATTCCACCCATGGCCCCTCCAAATCTCATGTCCTCACATGTCAAAACCAATCATGCCTTCCCAATAGTCCCCCAAAGCCGTAACTCATTTCAGCATTAACCCAAAAGTCCACAGTCCAAAGTCTCATCTGAGACAAGGCAAGTCCCTTCCACCTATGAGCCTCTAAAATCAAAAGCAAGCTAGTTATTTCCCAGATAAAATGAGGGTACAGGTATTGGGTAAACACAGCCATTCTACATGGGAGAAATTAGCCAAAACAAAGGGGTTACAGGGCCCATTCAAGTGTGAAATCCAGCGGGGCAGTTAAATTTTAAAGCGCCAAAATGATCTCCTTTGACTCCAGGTCTCACATTCAGGTCACACGGATGCAAAAGGTGGGTTCCCATGGTCTTGGGCAGCTCCGCGCCTGTGGCTTTGCAGGGTACAGCCTCCCTTCTAGGTGCTTTCACAGGCTGGCACTGAGTGTCTGCAGCTTTTCCAGGCACAGGGTGAAGCTGTTGGTGGATCTGCCATTCTGGGATCTGGAGGATGGTGGCCCTCTTCTCACAGCTCCACTAGGCAGTGACCTAGCAGGGACTCTGTGTGGAGGCTCTGACCCCACATTTCCCTTCCCCACTGCCCTAGCAAAGGTTCTCCACGAGAGCCCCACCCCTGCAGCAAACTTTTGCCAGGGTATCCAGGCATTTCCGTACATCTTCTGAAATCGAGGCAGAAGTTCTCAAACCTCAATTCTTGACTTCTGTGCACCCGGAGGCTCAACACCATGTGGAAGCTGCCAAGGCTTGGGGCTTCTACCCTCTCAAGCCATAGCCCAAGCTCTATGTTGGCCCATTTCAGCCATGGCTGGAGCGGCTGGGACACAGGGCACCAAGTTCCTAGGCTGCACACAGTACTCCTGGGTCCGGCCCACAAAACCACTTTTCCTCCTGGGCCTCCGTGCCTATGATGAGAGGGGCTGCTGTGAAAGTCTCTGACATGACCTGGAGACATTTTCCCCAGGTAACATTAGGCTCCTTGCTACTTATGCAAATTTCTGCAGCCAACTTGAATTTCTCCTCAAAAAATGGGTCTTTTCTACTGCGTCAGGCTGCAAATTTTCTGAACTTTTATGCTCTTTTGTCCTTTTAAAATGGAGTGCTTTTAACAGTACCCAAGTCACCTTTTGAATGCCTTGCTGCTTAGAAGTGTTTTCTGCCAGATACCCTAAATCATCTCCCTCAAGTTCAAAGTTCCACAAATCTTTAGGGCAGGGGCACAATGCCACCAGTCTCTTTGCTTAAAACATAACAAGAGTCACCTTTGCTCCAGTTGCCAACAAGTTCCTCATCTCCATCTGAGACCACCTCAGCCTGGACCTTATTGTTCATATCACTAATAGTATTTTTGTCAAAGCCATTCGACAAGTCTCTAGGAGGTTCCAAACTTTCCCATATTTTCCTGCCTTCTTCTGAGCCCTCCAAACTGTTTCAACCTCTGCCTGTTACCCAGTTCCAACGTCGCATCCAAATTTTCCAGTACCTTTTCGGCAACGCCCCACTGTACTGATATCAATTTACTGTATTAGTTTGTTTTCATGCTGCTGATACAGACACATCCAAAACAGGGAACAAAGAGAGGTTTAATTCGATTTACAGTTCCACATGGCTGGGGAGACCTCAGAATCATTGAGAATCATGACAGAAGTTTTACATGGCAACGGCAAGAGAAAAATGAGAAGGAAGCAAAAGTGGAAACCCCTGATAAACCCATCAGATCTTGTGAGACTTATTCACTATCACGAGAATAGCAAGGGAAAGACCAGGCCCCATGATTCATTTATCTCCTCCTGGGTCCCTCCCACAACACGTGGGACTTCTGGGAGATACAATTCAAGTTGAGATTTGGGTAGGGACACAGCCAAACCATATCAGCATATTTTTAGTAATCTATTTTATCTCTTCTATTAGCTTTTTAACTATATTTCTCCTATTTATTAGTGGTTGTTCTCAGAATTACAATATCCCTCCAGAACTTATCAGTTTACCTTGAGTTAATATTACCGCACCCCATATAATGTAAGAACCTTACAATACTTCTTTCCTTTCTGCTACTGTTGTCACATATTTTACTTCCACATAATTTTTTAAATACTTACCCATATATATGAAATTTTCAGTGTTCTTCATGTCTTCTGTAGATCCATATTTCCATCTGATACCATTCCTCTACAACCCAAAGAAATTTCTTTATAATTTCTTATAATATGCAGGTCTGTGGGCAACAGATCTTCTCATATTTGATCATATAACACTGTCTTGGCCAGGTATGGTGGCTCATGCCTATAATTCTAGCACTTTGGGAGGCCAAGGCAGGAGGATCACTTGAGCCCAGAAGTTTGAGACCAGCCTGGGCAACAAAGTGAGACCCCGTCTCTACAAAAAAATTAAAAAATTAGCCAAGCATGGTGGTGCACACCTGTGGTCTCAGCTACACAAGAGGCTGAGACAGAAGGATCACATGAGCCCAGGAAATCAAGGCTGCAATAAGCCATGTTCACACCACTGCACTCCAGCCTGGGTGACACAGTGAGTTTCAAAAATAATAATAAATAAGTGACTGAAAAAATTTTAAAGTCTTCACTTTTGGTTTTGAAGGATAATTTTGCTGAATATAAAATTCTAGTTGATTTTTTTTCTTTCAACACTTTAAAGATATTATTCCATTATCCTCTGTATTCCACTGTTTCTGATTAGACATTAGCTATCACTCTTGTCACTGTTCTATTCATGAATGTTTTTCCCCCTCCTCTGGATGTTTTAAAGATTTTTCTCTTTATCTTTGGTTTTTAGCAATTTGATTATGATGTGCCTACATGTGATTTTCCTTGCATTAAACCTACTTGGTATTCACTAAGCTTCTTAAATCTGTATATTTATGTCTCACACCAACTAACTGCAAAGGTATTGAAAAATGTGGCAATAAGATCCATATAACCAACAAGAAATATTTGAGAATTGTTTTAAATAGGAGAAATGGTAGAATTTCAAAAGGAGAGAAAAACAAAAATTAAGATAACTACAAACTTTGTATGCTGCCATCAATTAATGCCAAAATTTTATAATTAATAAAGATGTTGGCCTATACATATTTTTCTAGGAAGGATGATCATTACAAATCACCATGAATTCATTATGAATAGTTCATGCCAAAATATTTTTTGATAGATAACTTGACTAGCATGTCAAGAATATAACATATATTTCCCAGGCTGGTCTCAAACTCCTGCCTCGGCCTCCCAAAGTGCTGGGCTTACAGGCATGAGTCATCACCCCTGGCCTGATTTACTCTCTCTTTTTTTTTTTTTTGAGATGGAGTCTCATTTTGTCACCCAGACTAGAGTGCAGTAGCAGGGTATCAGCTCACTGCAACCTCTGCCTCCCAGGTTCAAGCAATTCTCATGCCTCAGCCTCCCAGGTAGCTGGGATTATAGGCACCCACCACCACGCCCCCAGCTAATTTTTGTATTTTTACTAGAGATGGGGTTTCACCATGTTGGCCAGGCTGACTCGAACTCCTGACCTCAAGGGATCTTCCTGCCTCAGCCTCCCAAAGTGCTGGGATTACGGGCATGAGCTACTACGTCCAGCCAGATTTATTCTTAAAGCTAACACATAGAAGTAATTATGAACGCTACTAGTGATGTGGTATATTTGCAGCATCAATGTTTTCATCTGATTTCAACTTCATTTGCCCCATTTTAATAAGTACTGACATCCTGAAATTTCCTAGGCAATGTACTAGGTACTAGTAATACTGAGATGAACATGACACAGTCCCAAACCTCAGGGCACTCAGACAGTGTTAACTAACAAACTAATGTCCATTTACATATGCAAATGACAGAAAGCTAAAACAGCTGCATTCTGATGACAAAATAAACATCCAAAGACCCAACCATTATCTTTTCCTTCTTATTTCAACAAGCTCAAAATTAACTAGTTCAGCTCAATTTAATATTCAGTGAGAACGTACTATGTGCCAGGAAGCATGCCAGGTACCAGAAATAGCAAAACAAGTAACATATACTTCCTGGCTGTAAAGAACTCACAAATTAGTAAGAAAGACAAACAGATATTTACAAAGTAATGTGATAGCTATAATGACAGATGGATATATAGGAATGAGAAATACATATGGGTATTGCAGATCTATTTTTTTAAAAAAGAAGAAGAATGAGAAATACAGAGGAGGGAGTAAGTAACTGTCAGAGAAGACTTCACAGGAGATAATAATGCCTACACACAAGTCTATGAAGACAGAGTCAGGCAAAACTAAGAGTCAGGAGAACTGACAAAAGCAGAGACACAAAATGACGTAAGTTCAAGAAAATTACAAGCATCAAAGTATTACTACAGCAGAAGGCATAGGGCATATAAGGCCAAATTACAAGGAGCTTTGTTAGCCTGCCAGTGAACTCGACCTTCATTCTATGTAAGCAATTTAATATGAAATTCAAAGGAGGACAGAAATGAGGCTGCTGCTTTTGGACTTAGCAGCTTATATTTAATGGATAGTGAAAACCAAGGAAAGGATGATTATTTGGAAACCACATGGGATGCGGTAGAGTGGAAAGGAAAAGGGGACAGGACAGACTCTTCATGTACATTAATGCTGAAGAGAAGAAATATGAGGGGAAGGAGAGAGAAACATGGAATCATCTAGAATAAAACATAGGATCAATGAAAGGTATTTTTACACTGGGAGAAACTTGGCAAATTTTTAAACCTGAAATAGGCTGAGAAGAGGGAGTCAGACGAAGCAGAGATGCAGAAGCCAAAGGAAATGTAGGAGAAAACCAATGGAGCAAATTCCTACAGAGAATCATCTCTGTAGGAATTTAAGAGCAGGTAGAAAGATTCAAGTTGACAAAGTTCTTCATTGAGCTGGAGAAATTCAAATGATTGAATTTAGGATGAGGGAGGTATGCCTTACTCAGGTGGGATCTTTATGTTACCACCCACTCAATATGTGTCAAAATTTTAAGGTATTACTATTAATTGTGCATTAATAATAATACAATGTGCACAACTAGGTGAAAGTCCACTCTACTGTATTCCAGATCTCTTTTGGAATATTGTATTGACTCTTGATCTCTTCTTTTGAAGTGTTTCATTGACAGACAAGCACATCCAGAGGGGAGCTAAGTAGTAAGAGTGGTGGAAAGAACTGAAAAATTAGGACTTAGATAAGAGTTAATGCTAACATAGTTGCCTTCATATGGTGGGGTGGGGCGGGGCGCAGATTCTGTATAGGTCCAGAGTAAATCAGTAAGTTACAAAGAGGTAAAATTTTATTAGCTGCCTTACAAAGTAGTGATCCCCTAATTACCAAAATTTTCAAGCAAAAGATGGACATGAGGAAAGATACAGAAGGGATTTCAGCCCTGGGACTTTGTACCATATGATTCTCATGGTTTTACCAACCATCTGATAGATAGTTGTATTTTGCCCTATGACATATCTAATATTATTAGTTTAAAGTACTACATGAGTATACCCATTTTAACCACTGGAGCCAAGTTCTATATTCCTTTATTGTTATTCTGCACTACAATTATTTACAAGGATTTTAAGAAAAATGCCCCTATCTTAATTTTTGTATCTCTTCTTCCTCTTCCTAATCCCTATTCACCTGTACCTAGTATAATGCCTGCCACAGAGCAGATAATCGAAAAATCTTTGTCAAGTGAGTGAAAATATGAATAAAAACCATGTCGGGTAATATGTATTTCTCTGTATTCCTTACATCCTTGCATCACAAGACATGTGAGGTCATTTAAATATCTGTTGAATAAATTAATGCCTGGTATACCCTCAGTACATACTGATTTAAAGCAGTAAGAATTAAAGACACTGTTTTTTTATTAGGCACAATCGCTTATACTGACAAAACTCCATGATATACCCATCTGTCTTCTCTGACCACAATGCCAACCATACCACTAAGAATATTCTGAGTAAATGTCTGGTTAGGCAAGCTCAGAACATCCTATCTGACATTACTATAGCAATTGTGGAAAATAACTAAAAGCCAGGACTCTACAGTTTCACACATTTCCCATGGGTAACAAATAGCAACTGCAAGACAGACGTTCCCTGGCCAGGAGGGAGCTCCTTGCCACTACCTTCATAAAGGTCTCCTAAAAACTCAGTAGGAATGTATATGAAACTGAGTCCTAGGACCAGCTATGTATGTCACCAGTACCCTTTCATCAAAAGATGGCTCTGTATCCATTATTAACTCAGGGTACCCCCAGGATCCATCCCCTGGAAATGCTATGGCTCTGCTATAAACATACACAATCTGCATAGACTTGCAAATATTTTCTCCCATTCTGTAGGTTGTCTGTTTACACTGTTGATAGTTTCTTTTGCTGTGCAGAAGCTCTTTAGTTTAATCATGTCCCACTTGTCAATTTTTGTTTTGGTTGCAATTACTTTTGGGGACTTAACCAAAAATTCTTTGCGAAGGCCAATATCAAGGATATTTCCTGGGTTTTCTTCTACTAGGATTTTCCTGGTTTGAGGTCTTTCATTTAAATCTTTAATCCATCTTGAGTTAATTCTCATATATGGTGAAAGGTAAGGGTCTAGTTTCATCCTTCTGCATACAGCTAGTTATCCTAGCACCATTTATTGAATAAGGGGTCCTCTCCTCATTGTTTTTGTCAGCCTTGTCAAATATCAGTTGTAGAAGTGCAACTTTTATTTCTGAGTTTTCTATTCTGTTCCATTGGTCTATGTGTCTGTTTTTGTACCAGTACCATGCTGTTTTGGTCTCTATAGCCTTATAGTATACTTTGAAGTTGGGTGGTATAATGCCTCCCACTTTGTTCTTTTTGCTTAGGAATGCTTTGGCTATTTGGGCTCATTTTTGCTTCCATGTGAATTTTAGAATAGTTTTTTTAGTTTTGTTAAAAATAATCTTGGTAGTTTGATAGGAATAGCACTGAATGTATAAATTGCTCTGGAGAGTATGGCCATTTTAATGCTATTCATTCTTCCAATGCATAAGCATGAAATGTTTTTTCATTCATTTGTTTCAACTTTGATTTCTTTCAACAGTGTTTTGTAGTTCTCCTTGTAGAGATTTTCACGTCCTTGGTTAACTGTATTCATAGGTATTTCATATTCTTTGTGGCTATTGTAAATGGGATTGTGCTCTTGATTTGACTCTAAGCCTGGGCGTTACTGGTGTATAGAAATGCTACTGGATTTTTGTACACTGATTTTATATCCTGAAACCTTGCTAAAATTGTTTAACAGTTCTAGGAGCTTTTGGCAGAGTCCTTAGGGTTTTCTAGGTATAGTTTGACTTTTTCATTCCCTATTTGAATGCCTGCTCTGGCTAGGACTATGTACTATGACCAGTACTATGATGAACAGGAGTGGTGAGAGTAGGCATCTTCATCTTGTCCCAGTTCTCAAGGGGAATGGACCCAGCTTTTGCCCATTAAGTATGATGTTGGCTGTGGGTTCATCATAGATGGCTGTTATTACTTCAAGGTATGTTCCTTCCATGCCTAGTCTGTGGAGGGTTTTTATCATGAAAGGATGTTAGATTTTATTGAAAGCTTTTTCTGCATCTATTGAGATGATCATATGGTTTTTGCTTTTAATTCTGTTTATGTGGTGAATCACATTTATTGAAGGTCATTTTGAAGTAAATTCTAGATATATCATTTCACCCATAAGTATTACAGTATGTCAATAAAAGTACTTTTTTATTTTCTTGTTTTTTTCTTTAAGACAAGGTCTCACTCTGTCATCCAGGCTGGAGTGCAGTGGCATGATCTCAGCTCACTGCAACCACTGTCTCATGGGTTCAAGTAATTCTCGTGCCTCAGCCTCCCGAGTAGCTGGGACTACAGGCACGTACCACCACATCTGGCTAATTTTTGTATTTTTTTGTAGAGATGGAGTTTTACCATGTTGCCTAGGCTGGTCTCAAACTCCTGAGCTCAAGCAATCTGCCCACTTCGGCACCCCAAGGTGCTGGGATTACAGGCGTCGAGCCACCATGCCCAGCCACAGGACTCCTTTTCTTAAAACCCAGTAAGTACATTACCAGATTTAAAAAAAAGTTATTTCATATCATCAAATATCTATCCAGTCAGCATTGGCAGAGTATTTTTACTATATTATTCCAAAGTAATCAGTAAGCATTATTTTACTCTTCTAAAATACAATGCAGTTTACAACAAAGTTCACATGTATCAACTTGCCACTATACCATTATGTTTCTGTTGTTCATTTGTTTTGTAGAGATGAGGTCTCAATATGTCGTCTAAGCTGTTATCAAACACGTGGTCTCAAGCAATTCTGCCTCTGCCTCCCAAAGTGCTGGGATTATAGGCATGAGCCAACATGCCTGGTCTACACCATTATTTTTGTTTCAAGTTCTACTACTAGGACGTTGGGAATATACCCAAAACTGACAGTATGCCCAGAAAAATTAAGCAAATTACTTTGCATTGATATAGATTTATACTAACATAATTATTTACAGGTACTTTCAGTACTTTCAAGAAAGAATTTTAAAAATGAAAGTAATGTACAGGCACTGATGAACGTAAAAGTGACGTAAAAATACTAGTAACTACGTAATCTCAGTAGCAACCATTGTCACACACAACTTGAAGATAAGCAGTCAATAAGCTCTCATTTTTTGGGAAGATTTTGTTTCTCCATCTCTCTATTAGCCTTGGTCAATCCAGGGACACCAGCAAAACTACACTGTCCTCTCTTTTTGCATACCATAAAGCTACAATAAATTTTAAAAATCACCTTTAAAGAATAAAGATAAAGAAGGGATCAAAAAATACTTGGATGCAGTTTGGGGTTTTTTTGGTTTTTTTTTTTTTTTTAAGACACAGTCTCACTCTGTCACTCAGGCTAGAGTGCAGTGGCACAATCTTGACTCGCTGCAACCTCCATCTCCCAGCCTCAAGCAATCCTCCCACCTCAGCTTCCTCAGTAGCTGGGACTTACAGGTGCGCGCTGCCACGCTCAACTTTTTGTTTTGTTTTGTTTTGTTTTTGGAGACAAGGGCTCACTCACTCTGTTGCCCAGGCTGGAGTGCAGTGGTGTGATCTCAGCTGACTGCAACCTCCGCCTCCTGGGTTCAAGCGATTCTCGTGTCTCAGCCTCCCGAGTAGCTGAGACTACAGGTGCCAGCCACCACGCCCAGCTAATTTTTGTATTTTCTTTTTTTGGTAGAGATGGGGTTTTACCATGTTGGCCAGGCCAGTCTGGGACTCCTGATCTCAAGTGATCCACCCATCTCAGCCTCCCAAACTGTTGAGATTACAGGCATGAGCCACCGTGCCAGTCCTCAGCTAATTTTTCAAGTTTTTTGTAGAGACAAGATCTCACTATACTGCCCAGGCAATACTGAATTCCTGGGCTCAATCGATCCTCCCACCTTGGCCTCCAAAGTGCTGGGATTATAGGCATGACCCACTGAGCCAAGTTTGGATGCATTTGAATTTGCTTTATAAAAGACAATGTGGTAAAGTGCAGTACTTATTAATAATTTTTCCACAACTGTGGGCATAACAATAGAAGGGAAATATGTTCCCTCATTGGAGGGAAACACGTTCCCCCATTGGACCCAAAGAGAAGCAAGCTACCTCCTTACAATGTCTTTGAAACCTAATTTTCTATTTAAAATTCATGTAAATTTTATACATACTTTGTGAAAATGATTTTTAATATTTTTTAAAACCATGTATTTCTTTTTTTATTATGCCAGTAAACTGCAGCTGAGTACTGCCTAGCATACCCATTTGAGAAAATGTGGATATATAAGGTCATACATACATTTTACTTTGTAGTCGAACAAATCTGAGTTCCAATCCCACCCTTGTTACTATCTGTCATTAGATAATTACTTAACCTCTTTACCCCTCCATGTTCTCCATCTTTATATGGAAATAACAACAATGGCTGTTACAAATTAGATGGCATATAACAATTAGATGAGATAATGCAAATGAAACAGTTATCACAGAGCCCAACAGAAGGAAAACGTTCAGGCCAGATGCGGTGGCTCATGCCTGTAATGCCAATACTTTGGGAGGCCGAAGTGGGCAGATCGCTTGAGCCCGGGAGTTTGAGACCAGCCTGGGCAACATAGTGAAACCCCATCTCTACAAAAAGTGTATATATATGTACACATAAATTAGCCAGGTGTAGTAAGCCATGATGGTGCCACTGCACCACATCACATGTAAACTTTGTTGTAAACCACACTGTATTTTAAGGAAGGGGAGGGGAGGGAAAGGGAGGGGAAAGGGAAGGGAAGGGAATTAAATGTTCAGTAAATGTTAGTTGTAGTTATTATAATTACTATCTCTAAGATCAATATGCAAAATGAGGGATTACCTACCTTGCAGGGTGGTAACAACTACAAAAAAGCTAAGAATCCACCCTACTTACTGGCAAGCTAACAACCTGGCCTGTTACAATTTCATGGATATTGGAGGAAGATACAGGACTCCTAAGACAAGGACAAAGCAATTTATTCCTCACAATAACGGCAGCCAGAGTTTTAGTTGTCGTTGTTTTTTTTTTTTTTACAGAGTATCAGCAATTTTTACACCAATTCCCAAGGCCAATTTCCCATAGGGTGACACAGAGTGGGCCATACATCATGGATTGCGTTACGGGAGAGGAACCCTGTGCTTAGGGAATGTGAATCTTTCATAATGGACTGTAAGCATACCTGACCTTTGCTGTGGAGGGAGAAAGTATCTTTACCTTCAAGGTGCAAGCAACCAGCCCTCTGGGGAAACACTATCTAGTCTGGTAGCAATATAACATCCTTGAGAAGAAAATCTAGAACAATCAGTACCCTATTCACAAGATGTGCAGAAACATACGAGACATAGAGAATTGTGTCCCAACAACATCCACTCCTCATTTCTAACCATCTTGGCAGCTGATAAATTTTCTCACAAGTATGCCACTATCAGGCACTCTGATTAATCCAACTGACAGAGGCTTGAACTAAATCTGATCAATTGGTATCATACATCATTTAATTAAGGCTACTATCAACAAGACTCCAAGCAGCAGGATGAGGTCAATTTTCAGAACTGATTTCAACCATGTTTCTTAGAATCCCACACCCAAATAAGATAATGAAATCCCATAAGCCATCAGGGTCTACCTCAGAAAGCCAAGTAGCTTTCTGTATTGATCTTTCCTTTTGGCCTAAGATATTAATCTAGGAACAATAAGATATATTAGTTAATTGTACAGACTCTGCCTTGGCTCACAAGAAAAAAGTCCAGGGCAATTTTATCATCCATAATAACTCTTGTCAGTGAATTGAGGCAGACCTTAATGCCTTCCAGGGCCAAGGTGTTGTCATTGGTTAGTTCAGTTAAAAAGTCAGGAATGAATTTTGCACTGCCTAGTCTAATTGAATGACTCCCCTTATAAAGATAATTCTTCACAGGGTGTGCCTAAATAACTAATCAGTTATCATTCCAGGAAGTTTCCCCAAGCAAGCAAGCATGGCCTCATTTTAGAGAGCTCTACACAGTTATCTAAAGGCAACAAGATTTAATGGTGTTTCCTTAAACATTCAAAGGTAGAGGAAGGTCCATGTTTCTAGGAGGGAGATAAGCTAATACCTGGGTTACACAAAAGAAGTACAGTCCCAAGGACACACATGGTACATCGGAAAAGAGAGGGTTGTTCAGAATCACTAGGTCTTTCTAAGGAGAACCTACATCAGTCAAGGAGGCATTGTCAAATTGTGTCGCAGCACAAGGTTCCCACTCAGTTCAGTTCAGAACAGTGAGTCTAGTCCTTGTTTTTGAAAGGACTGAATGATGGCAGTCAGTCCAATCTGTCCCATTTGTCCAGGCCATAAGCCAGGTGGCCAAAATCTACCCCACAGAATCTGAGTGAAGTTGATGAGATGGGAGTAAAGAAGTGTTCACAGGTGTTTTGCATGGAAGGTACATGACCTGGAGCCAACCACTGCTGTTTCCAGTAGACCTCCCAGTAAGTTTACAGGGAATGACAAATCATGATCAGAGCCATGGGGGATGGCAGACCCAGCAGGGATGGCAGACCCAGCAGTCAGCTAAATTTAATGTGATAACAACAATTTGGAGGAGCTGCACCAGAGTGTTTTCTTTATGAGGAAGGCTTCAAGGGCGATTCTGAAAGAAAATGAACATTAATGTCTTTACCTTCTCTAAACCTCCTGGGGTCTAAGATGGTCCCTCCACCAAGTGTCAGGATTGCTGCTCTCTGTCCATTGCTACAAAATCAGTATGTCCCATTCCAGCAGCTATAACTTCACCTTTTTCCCAATCACCTTTTACTCACAACACCCAGACCTTTCATCTGGAAATGTCAGGCGCAAGAGGGTCAAGGGAATTTGCATAAAACCTACAGAAACCCATTATGGTCCCCACTGTCTACCATACAGAGACTCAGCAAGCAGTATACTCAACCAAATAGTCACTATCCTGATGACCTAGAATAATATCAATTCAACAAGAGAATCTAGGTAACTGAACAAGAATTAAGTCTGAATTCCTTAAGCCATCTTTTGGCCTAGCTGCCACATAGAAGATAGATACCAACCAGGCTGGCCTTGGGTTGTTACTAGGGGGTAAAAAGAAACATCATGCCTAAAATTGGTCAGGGTGGAATCCTGAATTCTCAAAATAGGGCTATATAACCTCCCACCCCTTCCATTCTGATCATTACTCAGGAGTGATCAAGACGAGATAATCCTTTTCTGGGGACAGCTACAATCAGTGGCAAAACTGGCTTTCTAATAAGTAAGGTGTGTGGATCAAGAGGAGGTGAAGGATGTAGAATCAGAAATCGTTGAGTCAATTTTTGAAGAAGCTGTTCCAATATTCAATGTTTATCCACATACCAGATGCCTATGAACGGCAGGGAGCATGGAAGCATCAAATACCTTGACAATCAGTTCATTGCTGAGTGGCTTGTACGATAAAAGGTGCACTACTGTTAGACTGCAAACAGTCCAGAAAGCCAAAAGTATAACACAGATTGGTTTCTAGGGTCACGATGGCGTGGCCAGAGCCAGCTGATTGGACTAGAACAGCAACATCAAAACCATAAAAAAAAATGGCAACAGGAGTGAGGCACCACTGATAGGAAGCTGGCTGAATAGGCAGGTCAAAGGTCCAATGTATTCAATCTGCCAGGAGCAAGCAGGAGCCACATCCCATGCCACTGGCTTCTCTCATCATGTGACAAACGGTTAAACTTTTAGCAGGAGGCACAAGTCTGGCATGTAATGGCACCCTCTGTGTCACAGTCCTTTGCTTTGTGTTCAGTTTATGATAGTTGATATTCGTCATATCCAATATAATGAATATGGCTCTGGGCAGTGTACACTCAATCAGAAGCTTGATTCCAGTGGGCTTCATCAGAAGACAGGCCCTTACTAAGGGCATCTAGATGAGTGATCCAGATGGTTTGATCAGCAAGTATAATTTGTTTTCATAGTTCACAGCTTTAACAAGAGCTATCTTTAACTTGCCAGTCTATAGCTTTCCAAGTGGCAGACCAAAGAGCTAGGCCATTAGCAACAGGCAAAGGTCCGTAGAAATACAACAAGTTTCATCAAGAAGAGTACCAATCAGAGCTATAAGAAAAGCCTTGAGTTCTGTCCAGAGAACAGAGCAATCACATCCATTATCAGTCTGCATAGCTAGTACAGAGGCTGAACAGCCCTAGAAGTCAAGCAGACACAGTAAGCTTTCAGCTTGACTAAACCATCAGCAAACCAGGACCAGGTTTAGGGTGAAACCTCTATGAATTAATGACCCCACTGAGCTGACGGCTTTGCTTCAGACAGTGAAGTGGGAACTAAAGTTTCCTCCAGAGGACGGGCTGAGCCATAAGACATTATGCACTCCATCTCTCAGGCAAAGCAAAATTCTAACAACTTTCTTTTCTGCCCACGTTAAGTTACAAATTTGCCTCCTTTCACACTCAGTGTAGGTACACATACATCTGTAAGTCTTGTCTGAAAGGGAACAGAAGCTTTTGCCCAATCAGGACAAATCTCCCTAAGTTGTTACACTGGGGAGGATTTGAGGGTGACCTCCAGATTGGTGAAAAATATCCTCCCCACCCAAAGGAGAGTTGGCAACAACCAGAGGAATGTTCAGGCAGCTATCTTTGAACCTATGTCCTGGAACTCAGTCTGTAACCACTTCCCCAATATCTCGTCATTAATAGGCAATAAAGTAGAGAACCACTTAATTTGGGCAACATGTTTCTACCAATTCCCAAGGACTTCCCTCAAATTCTGTTAACCAACCTATGAAGACACCCTCATCTTTCTTCTTCCAGAATGTCACGTGTCTGTCAACATCCATCCTTGCTGCCAAAACTTAAAAACTAAAGGATCTGAGTTTTATCCTGCTAGCAAGCTAACAACTTAGCCTGCCAGTTTCGTGGATGCTGGCAGAAGACATTGACTCCCAGGTCAGAGACAATGAACTTTATGATTCACAGCAATATTAGTAGTCAAAGTATCAGCATGTTCTTGTGCTGGTTCTCCAATCCCATTTCCTATAGGGCAACACAAAATAGACCAAGTGATACCTGCACATGCAGTGGAATGCAATACAGAAGAGGAACTCACAGCCTAAAGAACCCAAATCTTTTAGAGTGGAAAGTATGCCTACCTCCCTTCACCCAAGAGGGAGACATTATCTCTATCTTTCAAGGCTGTTAGGAATACAAAAATCTTTGGAAAGATGGAAAAAAAGGCATTCAGTGCCTCTGCTGAGAAGATATACAGAAATCATTCATGGAGAACCATATCACTATATCCCAATAAAAGATCACTGTAAAGATTAGATGTTAAGAGCCTAGCACAGTACCTGACATATACAAAGTAACCAAAAGCTAGAAGTTACTGCTATTACTCTTTCCCTATTAAAGAAAGGATACATCTAAAATTGATTTTAAAAAACAAATTCAACCACTACTTCCCTTAGGGAAAAAGAGGATGGGGAGGGCAAAAGAGAAGAAGCTTTCCTCTCACTAACACTCTTCTATTATAGTTCAATCATTAAAGAATCCAGGGAGCCTGGATGAACTGCAAAGAGAAAAACTAGGTGACTCAAACCCCACCTGAAAGCCATTAAGGTGCACATAACCTGAAAACTCCTCCTTCTTCCTTTACCACAACCTGACATCTCATTCTTCCTATCTCTATTATTCCCCCATAACCACAAGTAAATATAAAGCCAGGTGTAATTATTCTGTTAATTTTACCAGACTGCTTTTTGAAATTAACTCAAACTCACCTTAAAGTCAATGACTAGTGATTTAACATGGTGAACAATTTTGACTTGAAAATAAAATGTATGCCTTAAAATCCATTTGAGAATGAAATTATAATCAGGAAGAGTGAATAAAACAGCAAATTCAGCAGCAGCATTCAAATTTTACAAAGTTCTTGGCCTCAAGGCCTATATTTTATCACATCTTATTGAGCCCCTCAATAAAAGCTAAACAAGAGCAGAAGTGTTTTGTACTTCTCTATATATGCATCACTTTAAAGTTACAACCCTCAATTTAGTCAAATCTTTATTTTCTCAATGACAGATTTTATTATTCAAAATCATGTCAATGATAGATATCAAAAATACATAAACATTTACAATTCTATTCCATTTGTACCATAACAGCCTAAACTAAGAATATTCCTTCAGTAAATAGTCACTGAGCACCTTTTACTAGATACTGTAGGAACAGATGGTTAAGATCCAGACAGTTGTTTCCCCAACAGAGCTGACAGTACGAGAAAGAAACATGTAAATTGATCACTGACAATCTAACATAAGACTCAAAAGAAGAGAGATGTACAAAATAGAAAAGAAACTATTAACCCTAACTGGGTACAAGGTATGAATGTTACAAGCAAAAGGTAGGAGGTGGTTTTTGAAAGAGAAATAGAAACTTTCCAAAGGAACATGAAAAGTAAGGATCCAAAAATGTGAAGTCATGAAACAGCCTAAGCATCAAGCATCAGTATACTGAAATATACTCTGTTAGTCCATTCTTGTGTTGCTATAAAAAAAATCTGAGGCTGGGTAATTTATACAGAAAAGAGGTTTGTTGGCTCATGGTTCTCAAGCTATACAGAAAGCATGGTGCCAGCATCCGCTAGCTTCTGGTGAGGGCCTCAAGGAGCTTACAATCATGGTGTAAGGCAAAGCGGGAGACAGCCTCTCACAGTCAACCCAGACTATCACATGGCAAGAGAGGGAGCCAGACAGAGAGAAAATGGTGAAGATCTCAGACTCTTATTTCTTTTTCTTTTCTTTTTCTTTTTTTTTTTTTTTTGAGGCAGAGTCTTGCTCTGTCGCCCAGGCTGGAGTGCAGTGACGCGATTTCAGCTCACTGCAACCTCTGCCTCCCAGATTCAAGCGATTCTCACGCCTCAGCCTCCCAAGTAGCTGGGACTACAGGTGCACGCCACCATACCCAGCTGTATTTTTAGTAGAGATGGGGTTTCACCATGTTGGCCAGGCTGGTCTTAAACTCCTGACCTCAAGTGATCCACCGGCCTTGGCCTCCCAAAGTGCTGAGATTACAGGTGTGAGACACCACACTTGGCCCTAGACTCTTAAACAATCAGATCTCACGTGAACTAACTGAGCAAGAATTCACTCATCACCAAGGGGATGGTGCTAAGCCATTTATGAGGGATCCACCCCCATGATCCAATATCTACCTCTAGGACCCACCTCCAACTTTGGAGGTCACATTTCAATATAAGATTTGGAAGGGACAAACATCCAAACCATGTCATAAAACGTTTTGCTAAGTCACAGAAATGGAACAGTACTTAAGATCACAAAATCAAAGAATCACAGGAATGGACGGAATTTCAAAAGTCATCTAGCTCAGCAATTCTCAAGTGTAGTCCTTGGATCAGAAGCATCAGCATAACCAGGAAACCTGGTAAAACATGCAAATTTGCAGACCCTACACCAGACCCACTGAGTCAGAAACTCTGAGGTGGGGGTCCAGCAACCTGTGGTTTAACAAGCCCTCCAAATTATTCTGATGCAAACTAAAGTTTGAGAACCATTAGTTTAAATCAGGATTCTCCAATACTGTCAACATTTTGAGCCAGAAAATTCTTTACTATCGGGCGATGCCTGTGCATTATAGAATGTGTAGCAGCATCGTTTGCTTCTGTGCACTAAATGCTAGTAGCAGCCCGAAGCTGTGACAACCAAAGTGTTTCCAGACATTGCCCAATGTCCCCTGGGGGACAGAAATCACCCTTGGTTGAAAACCACTGATCTAGATCAAGGATCAGCAAACTCTCCTAAAAGGAGCAGGGTAAATATTTTAGGCTTTGCAGGACATGCAGTCAACTACTCAACTCTGCTATTAAGGACAAAAATAACCAGAGACAACATGTAAACATACGTGCACGACTATATTCCAGTAAGACTTTATTTACAAAAAAAGGTGGTGGTTTGGCCCTCAGGCTGTAATATTCTGACCCCTAATCTAGGTCAGTTATCTGAATTACAATTGATTGTCCTCAGTCCCACGGCTGCCAAGTGATTCTCTGGATTCTATTTGGCCTGACCTAGTCCAGTCTTCTGCTTACAGGTACATATAGCTCTACACAGATTACCATTCTTTTTTTTTCGAGACAGGGTCTCTCTGTCACCCACCCAGGCTGGTGTGCAGCGGTGCAATCATATCCTCTTACCTCAGCCTCCTGAGTAGCTAGGACTACAAGCACATGCTATCACACCCAGCTAATTTAAAAAAAAAAAATTTATTTTTTTTTGTAGAGACACGATCTTGTTATGTTGCCCAAGCTGATCTCAAACTCCTGGCCTCAAGTGATCCCGTGCCTCTTCTTCTCAAAGTGCTGGGAATACAGGTGGGAGCCACCACACCTGTCCCAGATCACCATTTTATAGACTGAATAAATGAAGCCTACAAAAGGCAAATGACTTTCTCAAAGAACCACAGCTAAGAAAACCTAAAACAAAACAAAAAGACAACAGCTACAGCCAGTCTACCTAAGTACAATGTTCTAACAACTGCCCCTTATGGAGGTGTAACCACATATTGCCACCTAGCAGGCATTCAAACACTCCAGCCCTCTGAATTTACTAAAACCTAGAAAAGTACTGATTTCATGGGGGGAGCGGAGAAATAACTTTACCTTAAATGCCCAGACAGTAAATATTTTAGGCTTGTAAGGCCATTAAAATCTCTGTCTCAACTACTCATCTCTGTCACTCTAGCAAGAAAACCACCACAGATAAAGGTAAATGAACGGGTATGGCTGTGTTGCAATAAATCCTTATTTATAAAAACAGGCAGCTGGCCTGCAAGATATAGTTTGCTGACCCCTGATCTACAAGGTCCATAAAACCAGTCAGGCAAACAACAGGCATCAACTCTATCATACTCAGCTAATCTAGAGACACTATGTGCATTCCAAGGCTTCTGAACACCTGTGAACACAGAAGCATGGCACTAAATGGTAAACAAGGAATAGACAAAGTGCCACCTTTCTCTTCCTTCCTTCCTTCCTGAAGATCTACTACATGACAGCCAAGCACTGCTAATTTATTTTATACGTAAGTTTCCTCATTTGTAGAAATTTCTAAAGAGCAGTTTTTGTTTTCTTCAAGAACTCCAAGCTGACAAATTAGCTGGAAAATGAACACTCTTATATGTACCTGGATAAAATATTTGTTTCAGCCAGGCAAAGTGACTCATGCCTGAAATCCCAGCACTTTGGGAGGCCGAGGCGGGCAGACCACTTGAGGTCAGGAGTTCGAGACCAGACTGGCCAACATGGTGAAACCCCATCTCCACTAAAAATATTTAAAAAGTTAGCTGGATGTGGTGGCACACGCCTGTAATCCCAGCTACTCAGGAGGCTAAGGCAGGAGAACTGCCTGAACCGGGGAGATGGAGGTTGCACTGAGCCAAGATCACGCCACTGCACTCCAGCCTGGGTGGCCGAATGAGACCCTGTCTCAAACGAACAAACAAACAAAATTTGTTTCAAACCAACCTATGACCTTGTACAAGTCATTTCTCTTTTCTGGGTCTCAATTTCCACAAAGGGAAAACTGGTAAGCTTCAAATAGATGATCTCTGAAGTTCCCAACAGAGAACAAGTACATACCTTAAAACTGTCAAAAATAACAGCTAAAATTTATTGAACACTTTCTATGTCAGACACCTTTTCTAATCACTTTACATGTGCTATCTTATTTTTCATATGGGGAAACTGAGGCAGAGGGGTGTGAGGTGATTGGTCAAAGATCACCAGAAGAGTCAGTGGTAGGGCTGTGATTTAAATACAAGTGGTCTGAATCCAAAGTCCATGTCCTTAACCACCAACCATTAAATTTAATTCTACATGCAAAAACCTTATTTTCCCAATGACCTACAACCCAAATACTAAAACAACATGATTTGTCTCTTTAATAAATAAAGAGGACAGAGGAGAAAGGAAAGAAAGGACAGGTAACAAGATTACTTGCTCCCAGGAATGAAAAAATATGATGTTCCATGGATACTTAGTTTGGTCCCTAATCCGCAACATCACAAAAGATATCTGTTTGGATCAATACCATTTCTGCTCACACAGTCTGGTATTGTCTTTTGTAGACAATATTTCTTTGTGTCAAACTAAAAAAGAAAGAAGTGGGATTCACAACTCCATTTAGAAAGAGAAAATATTATAAACGGACAGAAACTACTTATGTGTCACTCAACGTAAGTGACTTACCAGTATGCAACAGAAAAGTCCATATTTCAAAGAGGAGCTCATATGCAAAGTTTCAAAGACCCATGGTGATAACCCAATATAAGAAAATTTGGCCCTCTCCCTCTCCCCTTTCTACGGTCTCCATCTCCCTCATCTCCCGTTTCCACAGTCTCCCTCTGATGCCCAGCCGAGGCTGGACTGGACTGCCGCCATCTCGGCTCACTGCAACCTCCCTGCCTGATTCTCCTGCCTCAGCCTGCCGAGTGCCTGGGATTGCAGGCGCGCGCCGCCACGCCTGACTGGTTTTCGTATCTTTTTGGTGGAGACGGGTTTTCGCCGTGTTGGCCGGGCTGGTTTCCAGCTCCTGACCGCGAGTGATCTGCCAGCCTCGGCCTCCCGAGGTGTCAAGATTGCAGACGGAGTCTCGCTCACTCAGTGCTCAATGTTGCCCAGGCTGGAGTGCAGTGGCGTGATCTCGGCTCGCTACAACCTCCACCTCCCAGCCGCCTGCCTTGGCCTCCCAAAGTGCCGAGATTGCAGCCTCTGCCTGGCCGCCACTCCATCTGGGAAGTGAGGAGCGTCTCTGCCTGGCCACCCATCGTCTGGGATGTGAGGAGCCCCTCTGCCCAGCCGCCCAGTCTGGGAAGTGAGGAGCGCCTCTTCCCGGCCGCCATCCCGTCTAGGAAGTGAGGAGCATCTCTGCCCGGCCGCCCATCGTCTGAGATGTGGGGAGCGCCTCTGCCCCGCCACCCCGTCTGGGAACTGAGGAGCGTCTCTGCCCGACCGCCACCCCGTCTGGGAGGTGAGGAGCATCTCTGCCCGGCCGCCCCGTCTGGGAAGCGAGGAGCCCCTCCGCCCGGCAGCCGCCCCGTCTGGGAAGTGAGGAGCCCCTCTGCCCGGCCGCCACCCCGTCTGGGAGGTATACCCAACAGCTCATTGAGAACGGGCCATGATGACGATGGCGGTTTTGTCGAATAGAAAAGGGGGAAATGTGGGGAAAAGAAAGAGAGATGGGATTGTTGCTGTGTCTGTGTAGAAAGAAGTAGACATAGGAGACTCCATTTTGTTCTGTACTAAGAAAAATTCTTCTGCCTTGGGAGGCTGTTAATCTATAACCTTACCCCCAATCCCGTGCTCTCTGAAACATGTGCTGTGTCCACTCAGGGTTAAATGGATTAAGGGCGGTGCAAGATGTGCTTTGTTAAACAGATGCTTGAAGGCAGCATGCTCCTTAAGAGTCATCACCACTCCCTAATCTCAAGTACCCAGGGACACAAACACTGCGGAAGGCCCCAGGGTCCTCTGCCTAGGAAAACCAGAGACCCTTGTTCACATGTTTATCTGCTGACCTTCCCTCCACTATTGTCCTATGACCCTGCCAAATCCCCCTCTCCGAGAAACACCCAAGAATAATCAATAAATACTATAAAAATAAATAAATAAATAAATAAATTTTTAAAAAAAGAAAAAAAAGAAAATTTGGCCAGACGCAGTGGCTCACAGCGCCTGTAATCCCAGCACTTTGGGAAGCCACAGTGGGTGGATCAACTGAGGTCAGGAGTTTGGGACCAGCCTGGCCAAGATGGCGAAACCCCATTTCTACTAAAAGTACAAAAATTAGCCAGGCGTAGTTGGTTCTCGCCTGTAATCCCAGCTACTTGGGAGGCTGAGGGAGGAGAATCGCTTGAACCCAGGAGGCAGAGGTTGCAGTGAGCCAAGATCACGCCACTGCACTACAGCCTGGGCAACAAAAGCGAAACTCTGTCTCAAACAAAAAAAAAGAAAGAAAAGAAAATTCATCAAGCAATTTAGGCAGCAAAAAGTATTACTAGCTGAAAAGACTAGGGGTGAAAAACAAAAGCACATTTGTGTGTTACAGAAAACATAACTGAAAATAACATCAAATCAATGCCAAATTAGAGAAGAAATAAAGGGACTCTTAATCTATGACCAATGGAACTAAATTCAGAAAGAATACATTTTTTTTTTTTATTTGAGACGGAGTCTCCCTCTGTCGCCCAGGCTGGAGTGCAGTGGCGCGATCTCGGCTCACTGCAAGCTCTGCCTCCCGGGTTTATGCCATTCTCCTGCCTCAGCCTCCCGAGTAGCTGGGACTACAGGTGCCCGCCACCATGCCCAGCTAATTTTTTGTTTTTTAGTAGAGACAGAGTTTCACCATGTTAGCCAGGATGGTCTCAATCTCCTGACCTCGTGATCCACCTGCCTCAGCCTCCCAAAGGCCACCACGCCAGGCCAAGAATACTTTTCTAGCAAGGCAGATAAGGGCTTCTCAGAAAGTCTAAAACAAAATATTACTACTAGTGAGAGTTGTTCTTTTTCTTTCTTCACTTGAGTACAGCTATGATGTCTGCCTCTGTATTAACAGCAACAGAGAAAAATAAATAGAAAAACAGGTAACACCAGGCCAGGTGTGTTGGCTCATGCCTATAATCTCAGCACTCTGGAGGCTGAGGTAGAAGGATCACTTAAGGCCAGGAGTTCAAGACCAGCCTGGAAAACGTAACAAGACCCTGTGTTTCTAAAACAATAAAAAAATAAAAAATTTTGATTTTTTTTTTTTTTTTTTTTGAGAGAGTCTTACGCTGTCACCCAGGCTGGAGTGAGGTGAAATGATCTTGGCTCACTGAAACCTCCACCTCCCAGGTTCAAGTGATTCTCCTGCCTCAGCCTCCCACAGCTGGGATTACAGACACCAGCCACCATGCCCGGCTAATTTGTGTGTGTGTTTTTAGTAGAGGCAGGGTTCCACCATCTTGGCCAGGCTGGTCTTGAACTCCTGACCTCAAGTGATCCGCCTGCCTCGGCCTCCCAAGGTGCTGAAATTACAGGTGTGAGCCACCATGCCTGGCTTAAACATTTGTTTTTAATTAGCCAGGCTTGGTGGCACACATCTGTAGTCCCACCTACTCAGGAAGCTGAGGTGAGAGGATCACTTGAGCCCAGAAGTTCAAAGGGGCAGTGATCACTCCATTGCACTCCAGCCTGGGTAACAGAGTGAGACCCTGTCTCGCCAAAAAGAAAGAGGTTAAGGAGGAGAAGACTCTAGACCAAAAGAAGTAACTGATATTATTGAAATTATTTGATAGCAATCGCAATTATTTGGATAACTATTTTCACATATGTAAGCAAACCAAATAGGGTCTCAAAAGTTTCAGACCAAATGATTCATGTTCTCTACTTCAGCCTAAAAAAAAGTTAAAGAATTCTACAATTACAAAAAGAACAGTTATTCTATAGTTACAAAAAGACTTGAAACTTTCACCTGAATGCATCTCTTTGTTACAAAACCATTAAAGGAGGTAGGGGGAACTTCATGATTCATCAATGCTGCCTGCTTTTTTAAACCCAGGAAATTCCTTTACACCCCCTCCTGGCTCTGGCCAGCAAGAACTGTAGGTGTACTACTCTAGTCATTCCTTTATCAGTAACATACTATGTACGTGTAAAACTGATTTTTGGTCAAATATTCCAAATTCTAAATTCATTTGCTCAGAGCTGATTTTTAAAATAATTTATTAAACAGGATGCTGACATTCTCTCCATTCAAAATTTTGGTGGTGCAGCCACTATAGAAAACAATATGACAGTTCCTCAAAAAAATTAAAAATAGAATGACTATGTGATCCAGCAATTTAACTTCTGGGTATATATGCAAAAGAATTGAAAGCAGAAGCTGGAACATATATTTGAACACCAATGTTTATGGCTGCATGATTCACAGTACCTACAAGGTAGAAACAACCTAAATGTCCATGGAAGGTGAAAGAATAAGCAAAATATGGTATATACATACAATGGAACATTATTTAGCCTTTAAAAGAAATAAAATCCTGACGCATGCTAACATATATGACTCTTGGGCACATTATGCTAAGTGAAATAAGCCAGTCACAAAAAAGGGCAAATACTCTATGTTCCACTTATATGAGGTACCTATTAATAGAAGAGTCGAATTCAGAGATAGAAAGTAGGATGGTGGTTGCCAGGGGCTGAGGAGAGAGGGATATAAGGACTTATTGTTAAATAAGTACGGTAACAGATTTTCAAGATGAAAAGCTTTCTGGAGATGGATGGCAGTGATAGTAACAAAGCAAAATGAATGTACTTAATGCCACTGAACTGGCATTAAGACTTTAAAATGGCTAAAATGGTAAATTTTATAAGGATTGTACCACAATTTTTTTTTCATTAACAGATTGGGGGAGGATTTTCTTAGAGGACAATTTGGGGTAATATTTGCTTTGTAATAAATTCACCCATCTATAATATTCCAAATCTATCCCATTAAGTCTGAGCTGTAATCTTCCACCCACTACTTATCACCACTTCACTGATTTCAACAGAATTCTTTTCTCTATTGACTTGAAATAGTCAAAAAAAAATACAAAAATCCTTCTCAAAGGTTTTTCCACATTTAGACACAGTATCTAGCAATGATCAAAATGTGATTTATTTTCAAATTCTAATCAAATTTGGAAATTATGTCTTTCCTACAAAGATAATACTGAGCTCTCAAACTATTATTGAGTCTCACAATCATATGATATAAACATGTAATTTTACCATATTCACTTTTGGTGAGGAAACTGATTTGCCCAGTTACAGAAGAAATCAGTGTCATCCAAGTATCCGTATGCCAAGTCTTAAGCTGCAATCCTTAAATTAAATGATTTGAGCCGGGTGCGGTGGCTCATGCCTGTAATCCCAGCACTTTGGGAGGCCAAGGCAGGTGGATCACCTGAGGTCGGGGGTTCGAGACCAGCCTAACCAACATGGAGAAACCCCATCTCTACTAAAAATACAAAATTAGCTGGGCATGGTGGTACATGCCTGTAATCCCAGCTACTCAGTAGGCTGAGGCAGGAGAATCACTTGAACCCGAGAGGCGGAGGTTGCAGTGAGGCGAGATCATGCCATTGCACTCCAGCCTGGGCAACAAGAGTGAAACTCCATCTCAGAAAAAATAAATAAGTAAATAAATAAATTACCTGGTTTTCTTATAACTGAATAAATGCTTACTTTTAAGTCAATCCTATAAAAATTGAGATAATATAAAAAACAGGAAGAATCATCACTTTTTACTAAGACGATCATTTGTAAGAGAACTCCAGGTTCCTAAACACACAAATGGCTAATGTGTTTAAGGTGTGTAGTTTTCCAAATAATTTTTTCTTCTATCAATAACATTCTTTTACCTATTTGACAATATAAAATTAACATTATTAGGCAAACAATTGTTCACTGCAGATGCCATTCTATTTTTCCCATTTTTAAACAATTGTGTATAGCATTACCATTGGTCTGAAGAGAAAAACTTATTCCCATCTTATTAATGGGATCGAAATTTTCATTTTCTTTTTTTTTTTTTTTTTTTTTTGAGACAGAGTCTCGCTCTGTCGCCCAGGCTAGAGTACAGTGGCGCAATCTCAGCTCGCTGCAAGCTCCGCCTCCCAGGTTCACGCCATTCTCCTGCCTCAGCCTCCCGAGTAGCTGGGACTACAGGCGCCCGCCACCTCGACCGGCTAATTTTTTGTATTTTTTTAGTAGAGACCGGGTTTCGCCATGTTCACCAGGATGGTCTTGATCTCCTGACCTCGTGATCCGCCCCCTCAGCCTCCCAAAGTACTGGGATTACAGGCCTGAGCCACCATGCCCGGCCGAAATTTTCATTTTCATTTCCAAACCAAAATCCCTGGAAAATCTTGCTTTGCCTGAGTACAAGAAGCCTAAATTTCCTGTCCTTTAGCCAATATAAGGTTAACAGTTAAGCATAATAATTGTCACACACAAAAAATAGAAAGCAGATGCAAGTTATTAGAGATAAAAAGGTAAAATTAAAACAAAGTTATAATTACTTTATAAAGTTTTTAATGAGGGAAATCAGAAGACAATTTTGTA
Source organism: Homo sapiens (assembly GCF_000001405.40). NCBI lineage: Eukaryota > Metazoa > Chordata > Mammalia > Primates > Hominidae > Homo > Homo sapiens. The sequence continues at coordinate 50,957,891 of NC_000001.11, forward strand.
ACACGGTAAAACTACACCTTGAAATATAGAGTCCTTTTTCAAACAGTGCATTCCACATTAGATAAAAAATGGAACTGGAGAACAAAAACAAAACAAAAAGACGATGATGAAAAACTTAGGCAGGGCTGGGTGTTGGAGCTTACACCTGTATTCCCAACACTTTCGGAGCCTGAGGTGGGTAGATCACTTGAGCCCAGGAGTTCAAGACCAGCCTGGGCAACATGGCAAGGCCCATCTCTAAAAAATTTAATTAATTAATTAATTGAAAAATTTTTTAAAATGTAGGCAGGCAAAAAGCCTCAGGCCAATCCTAAACCTACAAAACATCAAAATCTTATGGTCAACTTTTATTATAAGGACACTCCTTTATTAGTTTGGAGGTTATGGTTTAATCAAACTGTAGATATATGCATATTCCTAATACCTGTATATCAGATTTCACTGGGTAACCAAAACAGCAAACTCTGAAAATGGTTATCTGAACGTTAATTTGTAAAAATAAGGGCCGGGAGCAGTGTGGCTCACGCCTGTAATCCCAGCACTTTGGGAGGCCGAGGAGGGTGGATCACGAGGTCAGGAGATCAAGACCATCCTGACTAACACGGCGAAACCCTGTCTCTACTAAAAATACAAAAATATTAGCCAGGCGTGGTGGCCGGCGCCTGTAGTCCCAGCTACTCGGGAGGCTGAGGCAGGAGAATGGCGTGAACCTGGGAGGCGGAGCTTGCAATGAGCCGAGATCGCGCCACTGCACTCCAGCCTGGGCGACAGAGCGAGACTCCGTCTCAAAAAAAAAAAAAAATTAATTAATTTTAAAAAAAATAAGGAACTTAATAGAACAGAGAGAGAGAAAAGCCCAACAAAATTTCAGCAAGGAAAAATACTGCCTACTAAGCTAGTGTTAGAACCTGTGCAATGTGAGTATTAAAAAAGAGGGAAAAGTCTGCCTATACTTGACAGTAGCTTCTAAGTTGATGCCAAAATGGCCAAAAATATCTCACTAAAATAATTCCTTCACCAAACATCAAAAGGCAAAGGTAGCACTCACAGGATATTAGTTCTAGCTCCAAGTCTTTCACAATGCATACAGTTCTACTTTCAAAGGGCCTTCCTAAGATACTTACATGTCAGTGGCACTACGACTGGGTTTATTAAGAGAACAGCCTTTACTTATCCTTTAAAGTATTCCTGGAGAAAGGACACCAACCAAGCAATTCAAGTCTGTAGGGGAGGGGAATCCGCAAATATGAATAGGTAATTTATTAAGCTTGTGAATTCATTGCAGAGATACTCTGGAATATATAGTCTTATCTGTCTCCTTGTTATCTTCTTACCCTCCAAAGATTCCAATTAGGCAAAGTCTCAAATGTTTACTCCTCTTTGAAAAGGACCTCAGTACCCCATTGTCATTGCCCTCGCCATCTCATCATTCTGCTTTTTTACTCTTCCCTTAATACAATATAAATACACCACGCCCATAACACCACACGCTCCACGCTCACACTCCATACATCTCTCCCCACAGAACCACCCAAAACATCCCATACTTAATGGTCCAACACCAATTAAAACAAAAACTCTACACGTCCCCCCATATAATACAGGAAACACTACACATTCCACACACATTGTAACCCAAGTCATTAATACCTCCAATCCCATTCAACCCGTACTTAACACATTCTACACACTCATGATAGCATATAAATTATACGCTTCTCCATAGCTCGCCACACACACACACACACGCCACGCACCGTATAAAAGCCTAAATGACACACCACTGCAGCGTTCAAACGCTGGGAAGAAGACTCCCTTGTGGCACCGGAAACCCACGAGGTTGGAAGTGGGAGGGGAAGAGGGCCAGATACTTCACCTGAAAATCCGCCAGGATCATCTCCCGGTCCATGTTGGACGCCATGGCGGCCGCCGAGTTCCGCGGCTCCGGGAGCGAAGCGCGCACCTGGGAGGCAGACGGCACCTCCTGCGACCGTCGCCGCCACCGCCGCCGCCGCCGCCGGGCGCCGAGGGGCTGGCGGGCGAGCCGGCGGGCGGGTCGGCGGGCCAGCGGGCGGGGCAGCGCGGGAAGCGCTAGGCGCTCATGCACTCGGTAACCTTCAGGCGCCCCGGCCGCCCGCCTGCAACCTGCGGAGCCCGCGTCGCAGCAGCCCGGACAGGAAGATTGGTCTGGATGTGGGTCCGGTCTTACAGTCGCGGGCCAGGATGAGGGCAGGTTGCGACAGCGCGCACCCGGATACCTTCAGCGGCGTTAAGCCCGGCGGGGGCGGGGAAACCGAGCGAGCGAGCGGGCGGGCGAACGCCGCGGCCGCCTCCGCCTCCTCCGCTTCCTCCCTGGCCGCCGCCTCCGCCCCTGGTTGGCCAGCGCCACGGCTGTCGCACATTTTGCCTGTCATCGAGGTCGCAAAGCGCCGCTTTGCGGCTCCACGTGACCACCCTCCTGTCAAGCGCTGAGCGCGCGACTACCCGGCCAGGATCTCTGCGCTGGCGGCAGAGACTGCAACCTGCAGCTGCGGAAGCTTCAAGTCTCGCAACAGGTTATTCCAGTTTGGATTTAAGCAAAGGCCTCAGGATAGCGCCTCCCCCTAGCTGAGGCGGGGACCAGATTGTGCACCTCACGTGGTTAGTCACACAAATACACACCACCCTCACAAACCAACTAAACACACTGTTACAACTCGTCTAACAAACAGCATTTCAGAAATATATGTTTTTCTCTACAATGTTTCAGCAAAATACAGCTTCATATAGTCTCTCACGCTCAACCTGTCAAAACCGAATCCACACTGTCACACCCAGTCCCAAGCTCCCTGACGTCTGCATCCTCAGACTCCGTAACACAGAAGTAACCAGACTGCCATGGTAGACATGGGAGAGACGAGGAAGCTGAGAAAGGTAAAAATCTCGTTCCAGAGAAGAGGAGGAGCATTTTTTTTAATTGATAAGGTAGTTATGAGAAATAACAACCTCGAGTTAATAGGGTTGCTCCAAAGGGGGAAAAAAGGGAAAACCTTTCTACTGCTGCAGTTATATTTGTTTTTTTAAGCTGAGACATCTTACAAATGGGATAAAACTTGAATCCAGCTTTGAATATAGTCAGTCTATTTTTATTTATTTATTTATTTATTTATTTATTTATTATTTTGAGACGGAGTCTCGCACTGTGGCCCGGGCTGGAGTGCAGTGGCGCGATCTCGGCTCGCTGCGACCTCCGCTTTCTGGGTTCAAGCGATTCTCCTGCCTCAGCCTCCATAGTAGCTGGGATTACAGGCTCCCGCCACCAAGCCCGGCTAAGTTTTTTTTGTATTTTTAGTAGAGACGGGGTTTCACTATGTTGGGCAAGCTGATCTCGAACTCCTGTCCTCGTGATCCGCCCTCCTCGGCCTCCCAAAGTGTTGGGATTACAGGCGTGAGCCACTGCACCCGGCCTATTCATTTTCATAAGAAATTATTTTGGAATATTCACCAAATATTGAAAGTTTCAACCCATGGTCAGAAATTGACAACCTCTGTAACTAAAACAGCCAAAGACTATGTACAATGAAGTGTGACAGTTTGTAATTGTCGTCCAGGTTAGAGAAAGTGTGACAGTGGAAGTTGTTCATCCTTGACTTGGGAAAATATCAGCTTCTGGATTGTCATGGGGCATTTACTTGCTTTGGAAAGTATGTAAAAGCTTGAAAATGTGAAGTAAGATTGCTGATTTTATCCTGTAGAGCTAAAATAACTAGTGAAATCATCATGTAGCATGAAGGCCTAGGCTTCCCTTAAGAACTTTTTAAACTTGTATCATTTATTTACTTTTTTAGAGACAGGGCCTCACTATGTTGCCCAGGCTGGCTTCCAACTCCTGTGCTCAAGCCATCCTCCCACCTCAGCCTCCTGAGAGTGGGGATTACAGGTGTGAGCCATACCACCACACCCAGCAAGGCCTAGGCTCCATAAACTGGGAATATATTCATGAGAAATCAGAAATATGACCTAATTGTTCAGTTTCACTGAATATAAAGAAGTGCACTGTATTATGATCTGAGTTTATTCTGTGTGTTTCCTTAAATGAAAATAGGCTGGCCTACAGTTCTTAAGTACTAATCTGTGTTTAGACCAGAATTAGCTAGATAATAGAACCCTCCACAGTCACATGAATCAAAATGTCTTGCTTAATTTTCAGCCGTAAGAAAATAATTCCATGGCCAGGGCAGTGGCTTATGCCTATAATCCCAACACTTTGGGAGGCCGAGGCAGGCAGATCACTTGAGGTCAGGAGTTCAAGACCAGCCTGGCCAACATAGTGAAATCCCATCTCTGCTAAAAATAATACAAAAATTAGCTGGGCATGGTGGCATATGCCTGTAGTCCCAGCTACTAGGGAGGCTGAGGGAGGAGAATCACCTGAACCTGGGAGGTGGAGGTTGCAGTGTGAACCAAGATCACACTACTGCACCCCAGCCTGGGTGACAGAGTAAAACTGTTTCAAAATAAATAAATAAATATTTTTTTAAAAAGAAAGTAATTCCAAAAGTCAGCACAAATGTGAATCATGAGGCAAAACACAGCACCAATAATATAAATGTGGCAATTCAGTTGCCCCATTCATATAGGCCACCCTCAGTATAAGGCAGGTGAATAATTGTTTCTAGTTATATGGCCAAGGATTAATGCAGTCCTAAAAAGTTGAGAGTTTTTCTCTGTAATGATGCGTGTGTACCTCAGAACCCATTCAAATCCCATGTTGCTCCCTTTTTCTTTCCTTTCTCTCCATCTGGAAATTAAAACAATGTGGTATGTAGAACAATGGGATGAACACACTAGACATTCAGGCATATATTAGTACTGCTTTTCCAAATAATTAGCTGAGGGAACTTGGATGAGTCATTTAATCTCTCTGACTTCAGCTACTCACAGGACTATTTCCTCTGATAAATGAAAAAACAATTATGAAAATGCATGGAAAATATAAAATATTGGTATCACACTAACATAAATTTAATAGTCAATAATTGTGGTTTGAGTTCTAACTCTGCTCTTTAACAAAGGCTCTCTGGTTCTATTTCTTTATCTCTAAAATTGGGCTAAAAAGCTTGTGATTTTGAATGTTGAATGATCAAATGCTTGTGAAAATTCCTCATAAACCTTAAAACTCTCCAAACATATTAGTTATTACTCTGTATACCAATTCCTAAATGCTTTTCTCAGGACCACCCCTTTCATAAAATTTAAGCCAGTAAGGATCTTTCTCCTTTCTAATTACTGCTTTTACTATCTTTACAACACAACTTAGTGCTCCAGTAAATTTTGTAATTTTTTTCTCTAATTGTTTTCATATATGTATGTTTAATCTCCCCCCAAAGGTTGAAAGTTTCTTGAGATTATAAACCGCTTTATGCCATGTGTTTTTATATTCACCATAGTGCAAACATAGCAAAGTCTTGTGAACATAACAGATGGCAAATGCTTTTGAATTTATTAATTTTTATTGGGAGTCTACTATGTACAGATACATTACAAACTTTATCTCATTTAATATTTACAACTACTACTTTACAGAATATAAAGCTGCTCTGGCAAGTTAAGAATTTGCTCAAAGTCATGCTACAGAGTGACAGACCTAGGATTCAAGACTAGGTCAAATTAGTGCTCCTTCCACTTACCATGTTGCCTCTGTACAATTTCCCTTCCATGCTGCTTAGTTTATACCATTCCCAAAGACACTGTTTCTTCCCTATGGCCTAACTCTTCATGGTTGGATACCTAGCATCCAGAGTGGTTATCTACTACAGATAAGAGAAGGGAAGAAAAATAAATACTGAATTAGGAGAAAAAAAATCATTTTTCATTTCTCCAGAATTCCATCCTTAAGAGAAACAATTTCAGTTAAGTGTCATAAACCAAAAGAAGGAAATGTAAAGAAATTTGGTCCATGCACGAGCAAAGAAAAGTAATTTTAATTTATCTATTCTCATAGTTGGCCCACAGTAGTTCATGGAGCTCAGCCTAAGTTAAATACAGATCTTTTTCTAGAATCTCCATGTTCTTTTAAAAGAAACTTTTATATCATCTTTATTTCCAATATAAATAATAAATATTATTTATATTTTACTAAATTTTTATTTGAAATTATTTTAGAATACTTCCAAAGACAGTACAGAATGTTCCTATATGCTTTTAGCCCATTTTTCTCTAATGTTACCATCTTATTTAACATGGTACATCTATCAAAACTAGGAAATTAACACTGCTAAATACTACTAGTTAAATTCTGGAGGCTCTATTTGGATTTTTACACTAATGTCCTTTTCTTGTTCCATGGTCCAATAATACCACATTACATTTAGTTGTCATGTCTCAGTAGCCTCTTCCAATCTGTGACAGTTTCTCAGTGGACACTTCTGAAGAGTCAGGAACTTTATAAAATCTCCCTCAATCTGGGATTACCTAATGTATTCTCAGAATTACACTGAGATGTGTATCACCGCAGAGGTGATATGTCCTTGTTACATCATATCAAGGCCATGTGTTATCAACTTGAGTTATTACTGGTAGTGATAACCTTGATTCTTTGGTTAAGATAACCAATTTCTTAAATAATACTTCTTGCTCATAATGTAATTCATGAGAAAACTAATGCTACTGCACATATGTATTTCATCTAGTGATTTAGTGTTGTTTAGGATACTAGTGGCGGACCCTGGACTAATGGAAAAAGTATAAGGTTTGGAGCCCCAAGAACTGAATTCAAATCCTATGTCTAGTATTCACTGACTTTAAATCACAATTTCTGCCAGCCTCAATTCCCTCACCTGAAATACGGGGATTATTATCACAGTCACTTCACAGAATTGTTGTAAAGATTAATATATGCATTGGCTGTGTGTGGTGGCTCACACCTGTAATCCCAGCACTTTGGGAGGCCAAGGTGGGCGGATCATGAGGTCAGGAGTTCGAGACCAGCCTGACCAACATGGTGAAACCCTGTCTCTACTAAAGATACAAAAATTAGCCGGGCGTGGTGGTGCGCACCTGTAATCCCAGGTACTCGGGGGCTGAGGCAGAAGAATTGCTTGAACCTAGGAGGCAGAGATTGGAGTGAGCTGAGATCGCGCCACTGCACTCTGCCTGGGCGACAAAGCGAGATTCAGTCTCAAAAATATAGATAGATAGATAGATAGATAGATAGATAGATAGATAGATATGCATCATATTTTATAACCATGAAACACTATACAAATATTAATTGTTGCTATTATTTTTCAGCTTTTGGGTTGCTTACTGGGCTTTTTTTCCTTCTTACTTTAACGAAGAACTTTCAGGCCGGGTGCGGTGGCTCACACCTGTAATCCTAGCACTGTGGGAGGCTGAGTCGGGCAGATCATGAGGTCAGGAGATGGAGACCATCCTGGCCAACGTGGTGAAACCCCATCTCTACTAAAAATACAAAAATTAGCTGGGTGTGGTAGTGGGCGCCTGTAATCCCAGCTACTCAGGAGGCTGAGGCAGGAGAATGGCTTGAATTTGGAGGTGGAGGTTGCAGTGAGCCGGGATCGCGCCACTGCACTCCAGCCTGATGACAGAGAGAGACTCTGTCTCAAAAAAAAAAGAACTTTCAGCCTGGCCAATATAGTAAGACCCCATCTCCACAAAATTAGAAAAATTATCCAGGCATGGTGGAGCATGCCTGTGGTCCCAGCGACTCCAGAGGCTGAGGTAGGAGGGTCACTTGGACCTGGGAAGTCAAGGCTTCAGTGAGCCATGATCATGACCAAGCCACTGCACTCTAGCCTGGGCAACAGAGTGAGAACCTGTCTCAAAAATAAAATAAAATAAAAATAATAAAAAATTTTCATAAATAAGTACCTATATGAAAAAAACCACTGAATCTCAGAAATAAAATGCTGAAGCTACAATTATAAAGTCACATAAAAGGCTGCCTGGGGGTGCCCAGTCTGTTTTCCACCTCTGTTGATCTATAAATACAACAAAAAGGAAAACTTTGAGACCAGTTAAATAAATGGTAAATACCACATACACATTTCCAAAAGTTAATCATTCAGAAACTGTACCTACTTGAGTCAATGAGGGAAAAGCACAGAATAATTTGACTGAATCACATTTCTATTCTATGTCAATGAGGGAAAAGCACAGAATAATTTGACTGAATCACATTTCTATTCTATGTCTCTTTTTTTTTTTTTTTTTGAGACTGCTGGGCCGCCACTGCCTCCCAGGTTCAAGCAATCCTCCTGCCTCAGCCTCCTGAGCAGCTGGGATTACAGGCGCCAGCCACCACGCCCAGCTAATTTTTTTTTGTATTTTTAGTGGAGTTGGGGTTTAACCATGTTGGCCAGGCTGGTCTCGAACTCCTGACCTCAGGTGATCTGCCCACCTCAGCCTCCCAAAATGCTGGGATTATAGGCGTGAGCCACTGCGCCCGGCCACTTCTATGTCTCCTTAAATGATTATGAACTGCTGGAGCAAAAGGTTTCCATGACTGTTAATATTTAATATCTAACTATAAAGGCTATATTTCAGTATTTGATGTACTTATCATTTTGATGTTAAAAAGGAAAGCACCACTCTCAATATAGTAGAAACTTAACTATGAATTTTTCTTGTAAGCCATGTTAGAATATAAGCTTATTGAGGGTAGAGATACCCTTGAATCTGCTGTAGTGAACTAGCCCTCAATAAATACTAGATTTTCATTGGAGTTACTGTGTAATACTTATGTATGCCTTCTGAACTAAGACCCTAAGCTCTGCACTGCCAATTCTGGTTTACCCAACAGGCAGATGAAGCATATGCTTCAGGGCACCAGCAAAACCAGAATGTTAAAAAAAAAAAAAAAACCTTTGCCAAATAATTTAATATCTCAGCAAAACCACTGAAGTAGCCATCATGGGAAAAAAATCAGAACTTTGTTGGACTTTTTTACTGTTATTTTGGGGTTCTGTTATTTTTCTTTTTATTTCTATATAAGGAAGAGGTGGTAGAACATCAAAATCTTTTCAGTGCTTAGGGCCTCCAAAAATCTTAATACAACTCTGTGTACATCTTAAATTATCATAAGTTTTCCTTAGTTGTTCAGCAATAAGCATTTTATTTCATGAAAATTATAGTACGTTTACCCGTACTTTATGTAATCATACAATTTAAGATTCTTCCTCTTTACAATTTATCTCTAAGCAAGAAACCATAATAAATGCTAGAAGGCAATCCTCATAAATTGGACTAATACCAGTTCTCTTTTATCAGCCAACAGTGCTAATATGTCCTCACACCCTCTGGCTGTATGAAAAGATTACACAGTTCCCAGAATAATCAAAAGTAAATTATTATTTATTTCTTACTGGTATAAATGGAATCTTAAATGTTTCTATTTGAAACGTCTACATATATGTAAGAAAAAGAGAGTTAATTTCTTGTTTTGTAGTTCTCATTTGATTCACAATTCAAGTTTAGTTACCTAAGAAAAGAACTCTAGTTTTTTTCTCAACAATTACATTAAAGAAAACACTGCCAGATTCTTCCCAGTTTCAACTTTCCCTCTACCTACCAATCTCTTGCTGGATGATTACCCAGATATTTCTGGTGTGTTTTGTTGCTAATACTCCCAGTGTACTTCAAGAAGGGTACAGATACTGCTTGAGGATCCGCTTGCCAAAGGCCGGTTCTAATTAGACTTGTCATTTTTTGCTTGGTTTCATTTTGACCACTGGGTGCATCATGCAACCGTGTTGGATATTTTTAAGAGTATAAAAATACAGAAAGCAATAGTTAATTAATCTCACATAGCTAAAAGAGGAAGTTAAAAGTACTGGAAATTGGTGTCGGATGATTAAATAAAGGATTAGGAGAGAGACCATTCTAGACACCCTCCCCAACCCCACATCCCCAAAATCCAAGCCACTTCTAAGTAGTGAGAGAACTTCGGCAACCAAGAAATGGCTTTGTTAGAAAACACTTCACACGACTTATTTTAAATTTTGCTTTAAATTTAATTGCTTTTCTCCTTTTTCTCTAATAATAGGACTATTTCGCAGTTTCCAGTCCTTGATTAATTAAGGCTTCAGAGTTCGTTCTTACATATGCCATGTCTTAAGTTTTCATAAAATTCAGTCTACACAAGACTTGCTTTTTGTGAGCACTGTGCTTAGTGGCAGTCCGGATTTTTCCCTCCACCCCCGCGGCCACCCCTGCCCACCGCGCCGTCGGGCATGGATCTGGCAGGTGCGAGGCCGAGGCCAGGGCTCAGCGAAGGACGCCGAGTTTACAGAGCGCGCGCGCCTAGAGGAGGCAGCAGCAGCCGCAGCCTGGCCGCCCGAACTTTGCGAGCCTGGCGGGGGAGCACAGAGGCGGGCCGACCTGCCCCGCTAGCGCTGAGGAACGACTCCCTTTATGCCAGCTCGCTGTCCGCCTTCCCGCAGCGTACGCTGCGGAGCCTCAAAGACCCTGCGGCCCTCCACAACCGTCTTAAATAACAAACCCCTGTCCTCGCCCCCGTAGGAATTGGGGCAGCTGGGGGTTCGCGTCACAGACTCAAGCCCGCCAGCAGAAGGGCAGGCCGGACTTCGCGGGGCCGAACCCCGCTCCAGCTGGGGACAGGCCGCCTAGCCGGCAGGAGGGAGCCGGCGCGAGAGACTTGACGGGAGGAGGTGGAGAGCGGGAGGCGGGAATGAGGGCGCGGGACCGGGCGGGCGGAGCGTGCGAGACTGCGAGCGCGAGCGCCAGCAGGGCGGAGGGCGGGGCGTGGGCGGCGCCCGGCCTTCCCGCTCCCGCGGCGCTGCAACTCTGCCGAGCCTCCTTAAAACTCTGCCGTTAAAATGGGGGCGGGTTTTTCAACTCAAAAAGCGCTCAATTTTTTTCTTTTCAAAAAAAGCTGATGAGGTCGGAAAAAAGGGAGAAGAAACCGGCACCCTCTCTGAGAGGCAACAGAAGCAGCAATTGTTTCAGCGAAAAAAGCAGCAAGGGAGGGAGTGAAGGAAAAAAGCAAAAAAGGGGGCGACACGCAAGTGCCTGTAGGGGTGAAAGGAGCAGGGACCGGCGATCTAGGGGGGGATCAGCTACAAAAGAAACTGTCACTGGGAGCGGTGCGGCCAAGGAGGAAGCAGTGCTGCCAGGCTCTGCTCCAGGGCACAGCTGGCTGGCGGCTGCCCTGTCCGCAGCAAAGGGGCACAGGCCGGGGACCGCGAGAGGTGGCAAAGTGGCACCGGGCGCCGAGGCTGCTGAGCGCTCGCCGAGACGGCGACCGGACTGGCTGCCCCGGAACTGCGGCGACTCTCCCTACTCAGAACTTGGCCTACGTTTCCCAGGACTCTCCCCATCTCCAGAGGCCCCCACAAAACCGGGAAAGGAAGGAAAGGACAGCGGCGGCAGCAGCTCAATGAGTGCCTACAGCAGAAAGCCTGAACGAGCTCGGTCGTAGGCGGGAAGTTCCCGGGGGGGCTGCCCAGTGCAGCCGCAATGCTGCCGCGAGCTGCCCCAGCAGTCCGGGCTCCGTAGACGCTTTCCGCATCACTCTCCTTCCTCGGGCTGCCGGGAGTCCCGGGACCTGGCGGGGCCGGCATGACGGGCTTCTCGGGGGCCCGCCGCACGCCCGGCAGCCTCCGGAGACGCGCGCCGAGCCCGGCTCCCACGGCCTCTGAGGCTCGGCGGGGCTGCGGCTGCCTGGCGGGCGGGCTCCGGAGCTTTCCTGAGCGGCATTAGCCCACGGCTTGGCCCGGACGCGACCAAAGGCTCTTCTGGAGAAGCCCAGAGCACTGGGCAATCGTTACGACCTGTAACTTGAGGGCCACCGAACTGCTACTCCCGTTCGCCTTTGGCGATCATCTTTTAACCCTCCGGAGCACGTCAGCATCCAGCCACCGCGGCGCTCTCCCAGCAGCGGAGGACCCAGGACTATCCCTTCGGCGAGACGGATGGAAACCGAGCCCCCTGGAGGACCTGCCCCTGCAGTTCTGCCTCACACGGCTCAAGTCACCACCGTGAACAAGGGTGGGTGAATGCCTTTTCTTCCCCCTGAATGTCTTTCCTTCCGCGGTATTTTCTGCCCCGATCTATAGTCCCTTGAGTCTCCACACACACTCCTCACAGAGATCTGTAGCGTAGGTACGTGACAGCTCTGCCTACATCTGACGTCCGGAGTCATTAACCAGGAATGTATGTGTGTCTGTGTGTCTCTCTGTGGAGTCGTCAGAATTCTTCATAGGGGTTAAGCTAAAAAAGCGAGGCGAGGAGCCCCTCTCCAATGGCTCAGTTTTGCTGAATAATCACGTGTGAATCGAGGGGCGGGCTTTTGGCAGGCAGATCTTACTAGTATTTACTACCAAGCTCTACTCCAGATTAACCATCCCAGTCCTTCTGTCAGTCTCCGATGCCATCATGCAGCCTGGTTAGGAGCAAAGGAAAGGGGAAAAAGAAAAACGACTAATTCATCTTTTCCTGATCGTCAGGACCCTAAAGAATGGCCGAGCCTTGGGGGAACGAGTTGGCGTCCGCAGCTGCCAGGGGGGACCTAGAGCAACTTACTAGTTTGTTGCAAAATAATGTAAACGTCAATGCACAAAATGGATTTGGAAGGACTGCGCTGCAGGTTGGTATTAAGAGAGGTGGGGAAAACAAGTCAATAATGTTGCCTACGTGACCCGGGTTTCTAGATTTACAGCTTTTAAGCTTTCAGGGACATAAAATTTCACTGTTTTTAAACCTAGTTGGTTGCCATATTTTATATCTTTAAGTGGATGCAACTTCTCAAAATGACGTACTTTGAACAAACTCCTCAAATCCAATAACATCCTTGATATCAAGTGGGGTCCAGATTTGGTCTTAGTTTTTGGAATGTTTTTGTGACGGTGGGGATTTTAAAGTAGTCAGTGTAGGGCCGAGGTTTGTTTGTTTTGTTTTGTTTTTAAAGACAGCTCTGTAAACACATTATTATGATTATTATTTGAAGTAAATACACTGCTATTAGTGGTTTTACGTACTTTGCCCCCAATAATAGACTTTAACGTTAATTTTCTTGACTACTGATGAGGGTGTTTTTCCTTCAAATGCTTCAAGTTTTGACAAACGACCTTTCCTCGTTTGGAATGGGTGGCCTGGGCACCGGGACAGGATGTACATTTTACAGTTAATGTAATACCATCCACTCATTCAGGAGTCGGGAGGAATAAAAAGTTGAATTTTCTAATCAGAGCTCAGCTGCAGTGTCTTTGTCTCTACGGTCATGCCGTGGTGTGCTCTAATTTTCAGTAATTAGATTTACAGGCAACAATTGACACATGTCCAGCTGCCAAGTATTGTACCTGATAATTTTTTTCCTCTTCTGAATGTTATCATGTAACTTAGGTGAAAGGCTTAGAAACAGAAAAATGACAAAATAGTTTAAAATAGTTGCTTTATCAGAGTTCTGATGATATTCTTATGAGCTATTCTTATTTGGAAATGCAACACTTGAAGCTGTTTTTGAAAACCCAGTGGGGAGAGGGTTTTTAGAGGGCTTTGTTTCGGTTACAAGAATTAAAAATTTAAGTGCCAAGAGATATACTATTAACAAACAAAGTCCATACAGTCTGTACATTTTCAGTCAGAATACACTGGCCTTGCAAAAATTTCAGTATTAAGGAAGTTTATGCACAGATACTAAATTATTTATCTTGTTATTGCTGCTACATTAAGTAATGATTTTTTTTCCTTTTTCTACCTAGTAGTTTTGAACAGGTTTAGTGATGATAGCAAAGTAACAAATTTAATATATTGAAAAGTTTCCTTTTGAAAACTCAAAAGATTATATAAACTTCACAAAGAATGAACTACTTAACCCATGTTCATGATAAGATTTTACAGGATTTTTGACGAACAGGAAGACTGGGAAATTAATAATATTCTTTTAAAAAGTTTTGACAAACATTTTTAATACAACTTTGCAATCTTGTTTATATTAAACATACTTATCAAGATACTAACACCCACTTATTGTGGCTTAGTCCTTGTACATATAACGAAACACACACACAGAAACTGGAGTTTCAAGGCTTATTTTCAATATGTATAATCCTGACTCTGAAGTTGTGTCATAAGTCAAGAAATAACTTTCTTCAAAACCGTTTCCAATATTGCTATTATTTTCTGTGAAAAAAGGTGAATTTTCTTCTACAATTATGTTTATTTAACTCAATTTCAAAAGCCTTTTCCACCTTCCTAGTGTACATTTTTCTATCAGGTTAATATCAAAGGCCTTAATCGTATGTTTGCTTTACGAAGATCCAAGGTATCTGTCTCTTATTTTTCTCATTCCAGGTCCTTAAATATGACTAAATCTTTAGGGACAGTTGTGGTCGTATCAATTTTTAATAACCAAAAAGTATGTTTCATTGAAGTTCTTGAAATATAAATTATGTATCACTGTTTACCACTGCTCCAAAGGAAGAGCTAAAAATCAACAGTTTTATCAACAGGGGAGCTTAATATCTTGTCCATCTATGTAGTTTGCATTTACAAAATATTACTCATTTTAAATATATTTTGTTATTTAATGTGTGATTAGATTTTTTTAAACAAACATTTAAAAAAGATAGAACGACTTTGTATTTTCCATTAGCATTTAATTTCATAAACATTGAGTGTCTATTATACAAGATATTTATTATAAATTTAGATTATTATGGATATACCTAGATATAAATAAACCAGTGTAAATTCTGAAAATGTGTGGCATGTTAATGAAAGTAATATTTTTTCACAACTAAATTATATGTATTTTATATTTGCATGCTGTTCTACAAGATACTTTATAAGAGACCACTGTTAGAGTGAAATATATTCAAACAATAGTAGATAATCTTTGTTATGTGAATTATTTGTATGTTGATAGCAAGTGTTAATACCACATTCTGACTTTTAAAATGTTGGCAGTTTACAAATAGCTGTTCCTTAAATGCTTGATAATAACTGAAAAAGGAACTAACACAGGATCACCAGTTGATTATTAAATGAGCTCAAACCACAAGACAAGGCTGTCCGTGTCCCAAAACACCCATTAAATATCTTATTTTTTCTTCTTTTGCTCATTTGAAAATCAGGAGGCTTGTCAGAACTTTGAGAAACAGTATATAATGTAATAGGGTGACTATTTCATTATTTTCAAGAACAGTTGTCCTACAATAATTTCCTACTGTGATACAAGGCATATCAGGAACTTAGTTTTATATAAATTGATATCATAAGCAATTTAGAACACTGTGGCTTATTTAACACCTTAATAATCAGTACTGTTTTGTAACTTAAAATGAAGGATTCTAAACATTGAATACACCTAGTAGCCAATATTAAATAACTTGCAAATAAAAAATATTTTTAAGAAATGCTTGGAAATTTGGAGCTATATCTATTTGGAGGGAACTTGTAAAAATTGATCATTTAAGAAAATATCAGGCCTGGATTTTTAAAACATCATTTTTACACTCACTCATGGAGTTGGTTTAGAGAAACTCAACATCCTTATTTGTTTGCAGTAGCTATTTAGAAAATAAAGTTTAACCACATATGATTTTCTAGAATTAATACCACAGGCACATTTTATGAGCATGAACAATCAAACAGAAGGAGACTCTTATTTAAATCCCAAATTCCATTTCTGTTATTTTAATAAATTCGTGAAATTACACAACTCTTCATGGAACATAGAGAACAGAATTGTTAGCAAATGCTATACATGTTGCACAAATTCTATCTTATTGATCAATTTATCCTACTTTTGGGCCCATTTAAGACGTTCCATCATAGAAGCTCAATTTTTAGAAGTTGTCTTCTACTTTCACCTACTAGCACTTTTCTGCATTTGACCCCTTCAAGCCCCATCCTATGGGTCTTCCGCAAGAACTCCATCAAAAATAAATAGTTACATAAATGGAAGGACAGGCAGATATTTTAAAATATCTCTGTAGCATATGCACTTGAAGGATTCTACCATTTCTACTTCTTTTCCAGGTTATGAAACTTGGAAATCCCGAGATTGCCAGGAGACTGCTACTTAGAGGTGCTAATCCCGATTTGAAAGACCGAACTGGTTTCGCTGTCATTCATGATGCGGCCAGAGCAGGTTTCCTGGACACTTTACAGACTTTGCTGGAGTTTCAAGCTGATGTTAACATCGAGGATAATGAAGGGAACCTGCCCTTGCACTTGGCTGCCAAAGAAGGCCACCTCCGGGTGGTGGAGTTCCTGGTGAAGCACACGGCCAGCAATGTGGGGCATCGGAACCATAAGGGGGACACCGCCTGTGATTTGGCCAGGCTCTATGGGAGGAATGAGGTTGTTAGCCTGATGCAGGCAAACGGGGCTGGGGGAGCCACAAATCTTCAATAAACGTGGGGAGGGCTCCCCCACGTTGCCTCTACTTTATCAATTAACTGAGTAGCTCTCCTGACTTTTAATGTCATTTGTTAAAATACAGTTCTGTCATATGTTAAGCAGCTAAATTTTCTGAAACTGCATAAGTGAAAATCTTACAACAGGCTTATGAATATATTTAAGCAACATCTTTTTAACCTGCAAAATCTGTTCTAACATGTAATTGCAGATAACTTTGACTTTCTTCTGAATATTTTATCTTTCCTTGGCTTTTCCCTTGCTTCCCCTTTTGCCAATCTCAACACCCAAGTTGAAGACTTTGTTTTTAAAATGGTTTGTCCTGATGCTTTTGTCTAATTAAAACACTTTCAAAACAGGACAACATTTTTCTGTGATTTTCCCTCCTTTAGAACCCATACACAACTTATCACTTGCTAAGGAGAACTGTACTAAAAGTTATTGAATGTCTTAAGTCTTTACACTAGAAAAGGTAGACCAACTGGAAAACTAGACATACTCTCTTGATGATTCAGTTGTTTTCATCCTTTACCCATGTCCCGTCCACCTTGGTGCCTAGTATTTCTGCTTTAAAACAAAATAAGGACAACTTTTTTTTTTTTTGAAGATTAAGCCTGAAATTTCAGTGTGAATTTCCCTTAATGTCCAATCTTCCCTTTTTCTCGACATTAAGTCAAATAGTTGAAGGACAGAGTTCAGAAGTAGCAATCTGAAAACATATTTTAGCTCTAAAGTTTTAAAAGAAAATGCCACCTTAAAAATGCTTACCACTAATGGATTTTTAATCACAAAATGAAGCAAATGGTTAAATAATACACTTCCCAAAATTATATCATAAATACACTAAGTGTAATGTGGACTTTTTCTCCCTGAGTGTAAGAAATGTAAAATTACAAAATGTTTAAGCATTAAAGTGCAAATATCAATCTTTAGGCAATGAAAAACAGCGAGACAAATGTATAAATTACATATAAAGGTCATAACTATTTCAGAATTTGCAGAATAATAAATGTAGAAAGTTTTAAAATAATAAATGAGCAACTCCCACAAATGGTACTTAATTTCCACAAAACTTTTTAGTAAAAGAGTATACAATCTTTTTAGGAGCACATTTACCTAAAAAAAATTTTTTAATTTTTAAATTTTTTTTAAGGAAGTAGAAATATTAAATTTCCAAGACAATTTTCTAGCATCTACTACTTGGTCATTTTAATTTACACTTTTCAACAACAGATTTCAATACAGTTATCATTTGCAAATTCATACATACTTTATTCATCATCTACCACATGATCAAAGATGTTTTATGTGAACGTTCCCTCCTACTTCATAAGCTCTCTGCCCTCACTCCAAAAAGAATAAAATGCCTCAAGGTTTATTGAAGGACATGGTTCTGATGCCTGACCTAACAAGGATTGGAATGGCTGGGTGGCAGGCAAGTGGTTTTCAATAATTTATTTTCCATGATAGTATAAAAGAATATAGAAAGAAAAGATTAATCCTTTTAATTTTGCAGTAAAATTTACATTCCCTAAGTGCAAAAAGACCTCATCCTCTGACACCTTTAACCACAAATTACTAAATAAATTTATTTTTGATGGCAACAAAATTGAAACACTTATTTAAGAAAAACAGAGATTGAGGTGGTTTTGAAGTAAAAGTGTCATATTTTGGATTCTAAAATGGAGTCAATATACAAAATATACTACTTTGATAAGCCGAATATTTTTTAACAGAACACTAACTGAAAGTAATTTTTTTAAAAAACCCTCTTACAAGTTACAACTGTAAAGATGGACGGTCATGATTTTAAAATCCAGTTTAATGGACTTCACAGCATCCAACATGTCTCGGCATTTACTTTATTTAATAGAATAAAATTTCCCTTTAGAGATTTCAAATATAAAAGCATAGGACATTCATAAAGCAAAAGAGGAGTTACTTCTGCAGTTGCTTTGTTCTCGGGTGGTCGGAGCACAATAGAGGGAGAGGACGCTCTATCTTTTCATCAGTCTAAAAGTTGTTAGGCATTAAAACATCGCCATATTACTCTAGCTCTGTGCGGGAAGTAGCTTTGCTAATCTAAGTATTTTAGAAATGAGTTATGTGGTCCCCTCTAGGAAATATGAAAAGCCATTATTCAATCTCAAAAACCTCAACAATATTCTGTAAGCCTCTTGAACATGCCGAAATGTATAGGATGGATGAAACGGTGCTGCTGGGGACCTATTTTTCAGCGACCTGAGGTGGGGAGGGAGGGGTCTGAACTTATTCAGATGCAGAGAGTGGGGATGCAAGTGCTAATTAATGGAGTGTCCAGAGCTCCAGGAGACGACGCTGTTGTAAGGATGGAGGATACAAAGCAGAGGATGCGCTCTCAAATTCAGTTCTTCACCGCTGCGTCCACATTCACGTCGGGAAACTTGGTCTCAGCCTTTGCCCAGGAAGCTGAAGCCAGGCTTACACCTGGGGGTGGAGGGCACTAACATGACCTCGGTTCAAGTTCTGGTCCCCGAACTGCTAAACAAAGTGTCTTTTATCACATTTTGGTAGTGAATTAAGTTTTCTGATAAACATTATGCATCTTGCAACGGTGTGATGAGTTCATGTACACACACACCACAATGGGCGACTGATCAATAAGTAGGTTAAGTATTCTGTCCCGAGAAAGCAATATGATGTATTTCCCTTATCGTATTGATCAAAAGAACGTTGTGGATGGAGTCCGTGGCCCAGGACTGGTTTCGAAATCTCAGTTCCCAAAAAGGTGCTTTCGGCTTTTGCCGGGGGTAGAAGTAAATAGTCCATAGGCGCCGGGCAGTCACAGTGCTGGAGCAAGAAAAGGTCGTGCTCACAGCCTTCCTGGCTGCCCTAAGCAACCTTCATCAAAAGGCTACGGGGGAAAGTCCCTGTCTCGGTCTCTGGAGACTGTTCTGCTTTTATATGGCAGTCCCATGAAAACAGCTCCACGCAGGAACCTAGTGAGAGGCAGGAAACAAATTTCCCACCTGAGACCCCGGGTAAAGCTCTGCCCATAGCCAACCCAAGCCTTCCACGGAGGGGCTGCGAAGACATCTTTTCTGTCCCTCTGAAACTCCTTCTCCAGACTCCAGCTCCAACTCCCGGGGCCCTAGTGATAGGAAGCTGGAGCCCAGAGCTCCCTCAGGGCGCGCAGAAAAGCCAGGGGTGGGGGTGGGGGAGCTTCAAAACCGTTAGCTCGCGTTTTTTCCCCCTCCCTCGCTAAGGTTTCTTTTCTTTTCTCTTCCTGTCCAAATATTTCAAATTTCCGCGCCTTAAATAACAGTCTCCTTTTATTTAGTTAGTTTCCTCGGCAGGTTTGGCAGCCCGCTTGTCTCTGCCCCCCTACGGGCCCGGGGCGCCTCGGGCGCCTCGGTGCTGCCTGCAGCCCCCGCGCGCTGCCCCCAGCCCAGCTTGCGCTGTACGGAGCGCGCCCGCCGGAGTCACAGCCCCCTCCTGCCGCGACCTCGCCTGACCCGGCTGTCCGGGCACCCGGAGGCAACTAAGGCCGCCCCCTGCCCAGATGCCGGCCTGCCTCTCAGCTTGACTTCCCTCCCCGGACTTTGGAGTGTCTTCTGCGTTAGGATTTGGATCCCAGTGGCCCTGGAGCGGCAGAAGGGCCGCGGCGATAGGAAAGCAGCGAAGGAGGCCAGTGGCCGGAGTCTGCCCCAGCCCCCACCCGCGGGTAACCTTGGAGGCGCCCTCGGAGTGAGTGTGTGCGCGGCCGCGCGGCCGGCCGGGGCGAGCAGGAGCACCGCGCCGCGGGCAGGAGGCGGGAGCGGGGGGGCGGGGAGGGGGAGCGGGCGCCGGCGCCTCCCGGCCGCCGGCGCAGCGCCCCGGGAGCTGCGGGTTCCCCGGGCGGCCAGGCGACCCCGGTCCTGGCCCTCAGGCAGCGGTCCCCGAGGAGGCGGCAGCCATCCCACTGGACGGTTCTGGCGACCTGTGCCTGAGGACCGGGGCCGGAGGGCGGCCAGGGAGCAAGGGCCAGCGGGCCGGTGAGTGCCTAGCTCTTCGCGGAGGTGAGCTGGCGGCGGGACGCAGCGGGGAGGCTGAGCAAACGGCGCCCGACCTCGATGCCAGCACTCCCTTCCCCTCCCCCCATGACAGCTGAGGACAGCCGGGCTCTGAGCCTCGCGTCCAGTTGCGAGGAGGCAAATGCCTCTCTGGCTTCTTAGCCCCTCAGACTATTCGGGAAGTTGACCTATGGTTTTGTCGGTCCCCCCCCCAACCCCACAAATTACTAGACGCCCAGGACTGACAATGCACGTTCAATTCCGAAAGACCCTCCTCCCGAAACACCGTGAACTGCAGGGCTCGGGTGCGCAAAACACCTAGAAAGGGGTCTTTTTTCAACCCGAAATAGTTTTGAAAATCGAGTACTGTAGGGATCATCAGCGACGCCTCAAAACAATTAAAAAAAAATCCCCAGATCTGGACACAGACTTGCTAAATTAAGGTTCCAGTGAAATGTTTTGTCATTTGCTCTAGAAACATTGTGCGAGCTTCAGGTGTTAGGATGTGGGTTTGGAATTTTCTGTGGTGTCTTTAATCCTCAAAGACATTAAATAACAGCGTGGTTACACCCCCCGGCAAGCGAGCAAAGGTTATCCTTGCCACCACAGCACCTGCAGAAGCACAGTGGAACTCACATATTTTGCTTCCTGAGTTCTAAAATGGCTTCTGAACAGTCCAGAGGTACCAGCACATAGGAGCAGGGGGACCGGAGACCGGGAGAGAGATTGTACATTTAAAAAAACTACGCAGATACTATTACACTTCAATTGTTCCACCTCACCTTTCTCCCCCAGCCCTCATCCTCATCGGACAAGGAAGAATTTTAGTGTAGGCCTGTTCAATAATTCTAAATACAGCCTTTTTCTTTTCTCTCATGTCTCCCCCCACCACCAAATAAAAACAAAAACAAAAAACAACCAGCCAAAAACATCAGCTCTTTGGGGGAGGAAGTAAAAAACCACCAATCCTTATCCAACTACACGTCATTTCTTTTGAGCACTAAGAAGAAATGCTACATACAACCAATGCTATGAAAGAAATAATTTATCAGGACTTCATACGCATTTAATTTGGTATAATTAAAGTGATATTGTCTTTTAACATGAAAATAATGGGACAGTTTCTGAAACTGATGCATGAAAAACTCAAAAATCTTCCTGGACATTTTTGGAGACAGAAGCTTCTGCTCTTTTAATTTTCTAAGTAACTAAGAGTAGTTACTTAGAAAAAGCTGATACTTTATCTTGACCATATAAAGCAGTATCATGCGAATTTTATTTTCATTATGTGTCTTAGATTTTCAGATTAGTTGTATGAATAGTGAAAGATCACATAAAAAGGAAACTGCCAACATCTTTTAATGTTGAATTTTTAATTTAGAAATGCAACTAAATTATTTATCACAACTCTATTAAAATACAGTCCACTCCCTGTTCCTTCTCAGTGGACAGTCTGCACAACTGGCTGGTAAAGAAGTTTGTCCTGAGCTTAAAATTTATGCTTTGGAAACATTATTTTCTAAAATAAAAAAAAAACTTACTGATTTTTAGGAATAATTATTCTATAATTTGGCTACTCCGTACACAACTAATGTAACAGTATATCCTGTCTTACATTTTGGAACTTTTTTGGCAATTCTTGTTCCATAGTTTTCTCCTTCTGATAATTTTATTAAAAAGTAACTGTCCTCAGTGATATATCAGCATTCTGATACCGATTCTGCTAATTCAGGCACTTCACACCAAACCTATACAGGCCATTTAAAAATGAACATGTATTCTTATTTTTGTCAAACTTTGGAACAGCTGTGAATAAATACTAACAATTGAAAGGCCTAGAATAATTAATTTGCAAATCAGCAATAATGTTATAGTGTGGTGATGATTCAAGATGAAATAAAAACTCATATATTAGAAGAATAAATAGGATGAAATTGTTAAATTAATCAGCACTTGATGATTAACAGGATAATATTCCTTGTTTCAGTATTCACATAGACAATACTGTATACTGTGGTGTGCTTTTTAACTATGAAAGATAACATTTAATAATCGTGAGATATAAAAGTAATTGATCACTCCAGAGTATCTTTTTCAAAACATAATTAAAAACAATGGTTTACAAAATATTTCACTATATTATCACCTATAGTTTTGGCTGTCCACCCCACTTTTTAAAAAAATTTCTCTGTATATTTTTTTGTCTCCACATTTTAGGTGATGAACAAAAGTAGCATGTAGATAGAGGTTTTCAATACTTCTTTACTCCTGATTCTTCAGCCACCTATTTGCCTGTTCACAAACATTACTTCAACTTTTAAAGTCATGTTTAATGATGCTAAAAGTAGTTATTATCCCCATTAATTCAAATTTATCATAGGCCTATGAGTGAAAAAGCATTCAGCCTATATTGTATTTAAAATAAAGTTAAGTGAAAAAAAGTGTACATTAGATTACATCAATTGTGTATTTATGTTTGGCATATAAATTAGTTGAAATGTTTTATAATATTTAACATTTCAATACATGCTAACATTTTCAGCATAGAATTAAGATCTAGAAAATCTTAATTTGTGATCTTCAGAAAATAACATTTTAATTTGTCATATTGATAAGACTAATCATTTTAAGAAAATGTTAATTTGTTAATACTTTACAGAAAAATATGAGGAAAAGACTGTGGTATGAAATCCAAAGCAATTTTTTAAAAATAAATTACTCCTACTGGTAAATTACATATTTTAATTGTATTGTTGTTATTTTATAGTTACATTTTGCACTTTGTATGTGGACCAAAGCTTGCTATGTTTATCCATAAGTATATAGTTGGTACTAACCAGTTAATCAAAATAATGTTGTTGGTCCTGTCCTATATGAGTATCCTTATGTATATGTGGATATGCTGAGATATTTCTTACTAAAGTTCAGTACTGAGCAAATGGATGTGGAACAAATACTATCAATTCACTTCACATTACTATTTTAAGATGACAAATTATGATCTACTAAAGAAATATAAACTGATTTTTTTTAGATATAGGTTAAATCATTTTAATTAATGATCCTGGGAAAGATAGAAATTAAAATCTTAGAACTGAAAACACCAATGCAGCTCCTCATTCTACCTAAGTTAATGTTTCAAAAGCTTGTCATGAGGCAAATATATTAAAAAGTCACTTATCCGCAATTTAGAAATTTCAAACATTAGAAAAGAAAGTATGACAGTGACAAGAGGAACAATGAATATTTTAAAGTTTTAGATAGCAATGCCTATAGGTTAATTTAATATTAATTACATGGTGGACAACTTGCTAAAGAATCCAAAAGCAAGGACAAAAAAAGACCAGTAAAAGACATTTGCCCAAGAATCCAAAAGCAGGGCAAACAAGACCAAAAAAATTTCCTTCATTATATCACAATGGTAAATATAAACAAATTAACTTTCTTGGTATGAAACATTTTCCAGTTTTGTGGGAAGTTTTTTTATCATTTTCATTTGGATAATGCTTTTGAAACACATAGTAGAAAAACACACTACTTGATATATATCATGTATAAATTACATACATAATTTACATGTTTTACTAACATACAGCAGACACATATTCCATCTAAAAATAGCAAGCACAACATCATTCTGAAAGGGTGAGTGGATACAGTTGGACATCTGGACTAGACTGAGGGACTATTCAATGTGAAGCCGGAGTAGGGCCACATAGGAGAGAGCACTGAACTGACTGAAGGCTGGTTAATTTGCCCAAGACTGATCAAAATGACTCTGAGCTAGTATAAATTGCCTGCAGTTGTTTAAATATACCATGCCCCTAATGGAAAAGCAAATAACTGTATAAAGACAGTTAACAGAAAGAATATATATATGTCTTTTTAGTCCAGAGGGACATCACAGATGTCATAGAGAAAATATTAATTTGGCAATATAATAGAGAATTGTACATAACAACATCAGCTGAAGATCAGTGATTGCTTTCATTTTCTTTTAAAAAGGCTTATTTATCATATTTTAAAGGTTCAAAATGCACAGTTCTTCAACTATATGACTACTATCTATAAACAATGCATATTAACTTATTAATATTCTAATTTTTAAAATTTCCTCAAGAAATATTCCAGAACACTTGTTGGTTCATCAAACCTTATTGAAAGATCTTGCACCATGCCCTAAGATCAGCAAGTAGAGGTTTTGGCTTACCAACATAAAAGAATTTTAAAGATTAGTGCCTTCTAAGGAAAATATTCTGTTTTGAATTACCAGGATGGAGATCTGGGAATTTTTAGTAGCACTTTTTTGTTTTCCACAAACAAAGATATTATCTTTAAAATCAATGTACAATTAATTTATCATTTCTACAGTAAAGTCATGTTTTATATCATTGTTTTGAGTTTAAATACATAGAATTTAAACAATAGAACAGTCTATGGCCATTGTGAGGTTTCTCTACTCAGCAACAGAACATGCTGAAGAGAAAGCGGATTGAAATATCCGACATAAAATTCAAGCTATGGAACAACGATACTAAATTACCTGATAGAAAAATCACCTCACACAAAAATCATCTACTAATTTGGGGAAAAGGAGTGGTGAAAAAAGCATTTAAATATCTTTCCATTAGATTAAAAGATTACTGTCTCCTATCCAATATTGTAGGAGGAAATAAAATCCTAGATATTTAGGAAAAGGATCTGAACATGCTAAAAACAAGTGGTCTGCATTTACAAGTGTGATGGTGATTGATCTGAGAGGATGATCTGAAGATGTTTTAATGTAGTTGTGAATATGTTCGCATAGAAGAATGCTAAAAACTATTGAATTATATTGAATTTTGTCATAATTTATAGGCTATTAAATCATATTTATACAAAAAAGATACTTTGATAAATGTCTTTTCTTGGTACTTCTTAATTTATTCACTTATTCATTCAGTGTATATTTCAGTGAGAGAAAAGAAACACATAAGCAAGTTAATAAATCAATATTTATTTTGCATCTGTATGACCTAGTTTAATATTTAAGACTCCTTCATGGATTGGGCTTTATTATCCCATTTTACAAATCAGGAACTCAGATTTGATGACGCTAAGTAACTTGTCCACAGTCACAAGCTAGTAATTTATAGCATAAGGATACAAACTGGTGTCTTTTTCTACTGCACTATGGCCAGATGGAAAGATCTTTCAGGAAAATTACCACAAATCCATCAACTCAACAATCACATATTAAGGACCCATCATTATGGTCACTTAATAGGTTTACAGTCTTGGGACTAATTATATCTGAGGCTTTCCACATCTGTGAAATGGGGGTAATAATACCTAATTTGCCATGTTATTGTAAATAATAAATGAAATGTGTGCAAAGTTCCTGGTACTCAGTAAGCCTTTAATAAATGACAGCTATTACAGGAATACACAGTAATAGAAAATCCATGCTTGACCTCAAGGAACTTAAAAACGATTTGGGTAAATGAAGTTTACATATGGCATACTAAAGCAACTGGAAAGTAAGCAGGGTATAAGCAAGTGCATAGTAGTGTGTGGTGCACATTGCACCCAAAAGCACCCTTATCATGGAAAATCTTATAGAAGGCTAATGATATGGATTTGAATGTCCTACAGTGGGAACCTTTCCTTACTGAGAAGAAAAATGTTTGTTTTTCTAGCATGTAACCTCTGAGGGTGTTTATGTCTAACAAATATATCAGGTGAACAATGGAAAGTGACTGCATGGACAGAAAATATAAAAATCATACATAAGCAGGTCTTTTGAAAGATACCTTTCATTATTTTGGAATAAGTAAATATTATGATACTCTGATACAAATAGGAATAGAAAAACAGCAAGGAGTTTCATAATCATTACAAAATGGGATCCATAATAAGTAGTATAGAATAGTGAATGGCTTTAGGGCAAAATAAACTTGTTTCTAACTCTGGTACTTATTATGTATCACACCTTGGAACAGGCATTTAATCTTTCTGACCTTTACTTTCTGTATTTGAAAAATGGGTATAACAATATTTACAGAGTTGTAATATTTACAAATATTATTTATTAATAAAGTCACTTCAAACTCTAATACAGGAAACTTGAAAGGCCGTAAACCTATAGGTTTCCTGAGACCTAGATTTAATTATATTAATCAGAAAGAAAAGAAAACCCATCCTAGGTGACCATGACCCTGAGTAACACAGACATTTGTGAATTAATAAAAACTTCAAATTAAGACTTAAAATTATCACTCCAAGCAACTTTACATACCTATGCATCTGCTCAATATACAAGTACATTCAGTTTAATAACCAATAGGTAATTTACAAATACCTATTATATGTGAGGTATTGTTCTATATGCTTGTATTCAATGGTAAGTAAGACACCATCTCAACTCTCAAGAAACTAGCAATTTTGTGAGAAACAAAATGCCATGTACAGAATACAATAGAATATTAGGCATAATTGAGATGTAAAATAAATAACAAATTTCACTTGGAAAGTAATAATAAGTACCTGAGAGAAACCAAACCCCATTTTCAGAAAGTTATTATTGAAGAATCAAGTAGACTTCCATTTCCAACAAAATGAAAATTAAATATCCTAAAAAATCTTGCCAGCACACAACAAATAAATTTTTGAAAACATATTTTGGAATGCAGAGTTGCATTAGTAAAAAAGTAAGAAAAATCTACAGAGACCAAAAATGAGAGAAAGCCAAGTCCTGATGCCAGCTGCTCTGGGGGGCAGCTACTGATCCCTGGTGTATTCGTTTCGTGGGGCTGCTGTAAAAATGTACCACAAACTCAGTGCCTTAAACAACCAAAATTTATTGTCTCACAGTTCTGGTGCCTGGAAGTCTGAAATCAAGGTGTTTATAGAATTGGTTCTTTCTGAGGGCAGTGAGGGGAATTGTTTCATTCCTTTCTCCTGGGTTCTGATAGCCTCAGGCATTCCAGGCTTGTAGATGGCTTTCCTTCAGTGTCTTCACTTTTCATAAAGACATCAGTCATATTGAATTAGGGCCCACCCTAATGACTTCATCTTAACTCGATCATCTGCAAAGATCCTATTTCCAAATAAGGTCACATTCACAGGTACTGGAGGTTAGGACTTCAGCATCTTCTGGAGTGACACAGTTCAACTCCTAACACCTGGTAAACTACAAATTTCATTTTAAAGGGACTCAGAGAGGGATAAAAGCCAAAGCTTAGGGAAACTGCAAAGTGAGAAGACTGATAGAAGGCCCCTTTAAAAAGCTAGTATCCCAAAGGGTAGTACATCTAGGGAAAAGTTAAATTAAGTGTTTATTCAAAATTTTTGCTCATCTTTATGTTTCTGTTTTATTATCTTATTATTGAGTTTTGAGAGTCCTTTGTACATTCTGGATACAAGTCTTTTATCAACTATGTGTTTTGTAGATATTGTCTCCTAGTCTGTGGCTTGTTTTGTCATTTTTCTTGTGTCTTTTTTTTTTTTTCCCCAAGACAAGGTCCCACTGTGTTGCCCAGCTGGGCTCAACTCCTGGGCTCAAGTGAGCCTCCCACCTCAGCCTCCCAAGTAGCAGGGATTACAGATGTGTGCCACCATGCCCAGCTTGTGTCTTTTGAAAAGAAGTTTATAATTTAATGAAGTTAGGAAGCGCTGTATAAACTGATATGGAGTGATGAATAGATGAACAAAATATTGTATCTATACAAAGAAATATTTTTAGTCATAAGAAGTGCTGATAAATGCTACAACATGGATGAACCTTGAAAACATTATGCTAAGTGCAAAAAGCCAACAAAAAGACCACATATTGTATAATTCAATTTATATTAAATATCCAGAATAGGCACATTTATACAGACAGGAGTAGATTAATGGTTGTCAGGGGCTGTGAGAGGGGGAGACTAGGAATGACTGCTAATGGGTACAAAGTTCCTTTCAGGGTGATGAAAATGTTGGTGAACTGGATTGTGGTGATTGCTGAACAACTTTATGAATATACTAAAAACTACTAAATTGTAAACTTTATTAAAAGGATGAATTTTATGAGATGTAATTATGTATCAGTTTTTTAAAAAGGAGAGAAACAAATTTTTTTAAAGATGTACACCTACTGCCGTTTACTTAATACAAAGATAATGATGACTACAAATATAACTTGTTCTTTAGATTTTTAATTTATGTAGCTTCTTGGAGTACTGAAAAGAGTTTGTTTCCTTATTTCTTTCCCACTATAGACAATGAAGAAAAGCGTTTATTTTGCTCACTTCACTATCTAATTCCTAGCATGGTAACTAGAATATGGTAGGCACCCAGTAAATATATGTTGAATTTAAAAAGAAAGCAGAACGAGTGATAGAATTAAGAAATCCTATTTTCCCACAAATGTAATATTCAATTAGAAATTGAATTAGTTTCATTCAATTAGAATGAAACTTTGCTGGGGAACAGGATATTTACATAATCTCAAAGTATCCAATGGAGAGATCTTTTGGACACCACTTTAATCAAGTGATCAAACTTAGCATGACCATAACGGAATGAACTCACCGTTGCCTCCTGATGTGATACAGTGGGAAGTACACAATATCAGCTATGAAGTATTCTTGCCAAGAATGTTTAACCTAATTTTTGAAAGGCAATACTTAAAAACAGATTGTGAGACATTCTGTGAGACAATTGGCTAGACTATTTTTTTTATTTTTTTATTTTTGAGAAGGAGTCTCACTCTCTCGTCCATGCTGGAATATGGTGGCACCATCTCGGCTCACTGCAACCTCCACCTCCCGGGTCCAAGTGATTCTCCTGCCTCAGCCTCCCGAGTACCTTGGATTACAGGCACGTGCCACCATGCCCAGCTAATTTTTGTATTTTTAGTAGAGATGGGGTTTCACCATGTTAGTTGGCCAGGCTGGTCCCGAACTCTTGACCTCAGGTGATCCACCCACCTCGGCCTCCCAAAGTGCTGGGATTACAGGCGTTAACCACCATCACTCCTGGCCTTTTTTTTTTTTTTTTGAGATGGAGTTTCACTCTTGTTCCCCAGGCTGGAGTGCAATGGCGCGATCTCAGCTTACCGCAACCTCCACCTCCCAGGTTCAAGCGATTCTCCTGCCTCAGCCTCCTGAGTAGCTGGGACTACAGGTGCGTGCCACCATGCCCAGCTAATTTTGAATTTTTAGTGGAGACGGGGTTTCTGCATGTTGGTCAGGCTGGTCTCGAACTCCTGACCTCAGGTGATCTGCCCGCCTTGGCCTCCCAAAGTGTTGGCATTACAGGCATGAGCCACCGCGCCAGCCCGCCTGGCCATATTTTTATAAGTCAATATTATCTAAGGGAAAAAAAGCAAGGGGAACTTTTATAGATTAAAAGTGACTAAAAAGATAATACATGCAGCAACAATGCATGGTCTTTGCTTGGATTCTCAACTGAATAAAGACAACTTTGAAGGACATTTGTGGACAATTAGGGAAATGTGAATATGGACTGAAGATTGGACAAGATTATCATATCAGTTTTAAATTTCTTGGGTGAGATAATGCCATTATGATTACCTGTAGGAGAATATCCTTGTTCTTAGAAAATACCAAGAGTTGATATTTTGAAAAGGTTAATAATACTGATATACCTTTAGCTAGATTGACCAAGAAATACAGAAAACAAAATTTATTACTACAGATATTTAAAGGATAAAGGAAAATACTGTGAACAAATTTATGCTAAAATGAGAGAAAAAGAAAGAAAGAAATTGAATTCTTAATTTAAAACACTCCTGTAAAAGAAACTCCAGGCACGAATGGCTTTACTGGTTAATTTTACCAAACTTTTAAGAAACAATACTACACAAACTCAGAAAATAGAGAAGGGAGAAATAATTTTTGATTCATTTTATGATGTCAGCATAACCCGATACTGAAACAGGCATTACAAGAAAATAAAAGATTATCCTTCACGAACATAGATACAAAAATTCCTTTTTTTCATTTTATTTATTTGTTTATTTATTTATTTATTTTTGAGACAGAGTCTCACTCTGTCACCCAGGCTGGGATGCAGTGGCACGGTCTCAGCTCACTGCAACCTCCACCTCCCAGATTCAAGTGATTCTCCTGCCTCAGCCTCTTGAGTAGCTGGGACTACAGGCATGTGCCACCATGCCCAGCTAATTTTTTTTAATTTTTTTTTAGTGGAGATGGGGTTTCACCATGGTGGCCAGGCTGGTCTCGATCTGACCTCAAGTGATCCTCCTGCCTCGGCCTTCCAAAGTGCTGGAATTGCAGGCATGAACCACTGCATCTGGCAACAGATACAAAAATTCTTAACAAAATATTAGCAAATAGAATTCAGTAATATATAATATAGTTTGAGCAAGTGAAGTTTAGTGCAGAAGTCCAAGGTTGTTTTAACATTCAAAGGTCAATCAATTTAATTCACTACATTCACAAAATATAGGAGAAAAACCATATGGTCAATTCAATTGATGTAGAAAAAGCATTTGCAAAACTCAACACCAATTCATGATTGAAAAAGAAACTCTCAAAAATAGTAAGAAAATAGAACTTCTTTATTCTCTAAAGGGCATTTAGGCAAAACTTACAGCTAACCTCATTTTTTTTCCCCCGAGATAGAGTCTCGCTCTGTCACCCAGGCTGGAGTGCAGTGGTGCTATCTCGGCTCACTGCAACCTCCACCTCCCAGGTTCAAGCGATTCTCCTGCCTCAACCTCCCGAGTAGCTGGGATTACAGGCACGTGCCACCACACCTGGCTAATTTTTGTAGTCTTAGCAGAGATGGGGTTTCACCATGTTCACCAGGCTAGTCTCGAACTCTTGACTTTGTGATCCGCCCGCCTCGGACTCCCAAAGTGCTGAGATTACAGGTGTGAGCCACCATGCCCAGCCAGCTAACCTCGTATGTAATTGAGGTTTCTCTCTCAGATCAGAACAAGGTGAGGATGCAGACTCTACTTCTATTCAATGTTGCACTGGCCATCTTAGTCAACACTATCTTAGCCAACACTAAGCCAACTATATTGGCTCCAGCACAACACTAAAAATGCACATAACCTTTGATCCAGCAACTCTACTACTAGGAATCTACCCTAAGGAATTATAAATTTCCCTTAAACTCATTTGTACAACTGTTTACTTGACATCTCTTATTGTGTGTCTAGTAGGCATCTCAAATTTATGATGTCCCAAACTAAACTTTTAACTTTTATTCTTTTAACTTTTATTCCATAAAACTTTTAACTTTCATTCCATGAAACTTTTAACTTTCATTCCAGGAAACCATGTTTCCTCTCAGTAAACGGCCTACAATCACCCAAATGCTAAGGACAATCAATCTTGATTCTTCCTGTCTGTTATCTAAATTATTAGCAAATTCTGTCAGCTGCATCACCAAAATATATTTATGTTTTATATATACTTATATGTGTATGTATTATGAATCTGATGACTTTTTACCTTCTTCATCATCGTGCCTTACTGGCTCTAATTAGCTGGTATACCAATCTCTGATGTAATCACTATGGCTTTGGCCAAACTTGAGTCATGCCCATCTCTGGGGCATTGAGTGATTTCTCCCCAAAGCATCTGGATGAATGGATACTGGCAAAAAGATAGATTTTGGCTAAAATGCTGTGGGATGACTGTTTAATTGCTTATGTTCTCTGTTATAAACATTAAAATTCTATACATATGTGGTAGACTAGGAAAAATGGAAAGAAAAACAGCATTTAGTGTTATGGTGCGCTATAAAATATTCTCATGTGTAAACATAAGAAAACATGCTTGTTTTCAAATGTGAATTAATTTATGCAACCTAAACAAATCTTTTTTTAGCATATTTTAAATTATCTAGAGCCAGTTTATTCTTTTAAAAATTCATATTAATACTTAATAAATCCTTTTTGACATAGAATGGAACAATTTGATGTTATATGCAATCATGATAAATTCCTTTATATGGCAAAAATGCTTTCTGTTTTGTGAGACAGAGTCTTGCTGTGTCACCCAGGCTGGAGTGCAGTGGTGCGATCTCAGCTCACTACAACCTCCACCTCCCGGTGCAAGCAATTCTCCTGCCTCAGCCTCCTGAGTAGCTGGGATTACAGGTGCCTGCCACCACGCCCGACTAATTTTTGTATTTTTAGTAGAGACCGAGTTTCACCATGTTGGCCAGGCTGTTGTGGAACTCCTAACCTCAAGCAAGCCACCTGCCTCGGCCCCCCGGAGTGCTGGGATTACAGGAGTGAGCCACCACACCCAGCCTAAAAATACTTTTCTCTTTCTTTGTTTTCTTTCTTTTTTTTTATTTTTATTTTTTATTTTTTTTTTAGATGGAGTCTCGCTCTGTCGCCCAGGCTGGAGTGCAGTGGCGTGGTCTCGGCTCACTGCAACCTCTGCCTCCCGGGTTCAAGTGATTCTCCTGCCTCAGCCTCCCGAGTAGCTGGGACTACAGGTGCGTGCCACCACGCCAGCTAATTTTTTTTTTATTTTTAGTAGAGACGGGGTTTTACCGTGTTAGCCAGGATGGTCTCGATCTCCTGACCTCGTGATCCACCCACCTCAGCCTCTCAAAGTGCTGGGATTACAGGCATGAGCCAGCATGCCTGGCCAAAAATAGTTTTTTCTAAGGGGCTCTTTAATTCAGTGCTCACACACTTAAACATAAAAGTAGACCTGCTTTACATTTTTGTTCAAGTATCCTTTAAAACCTCTGCTCAGTCTATTGCTGATTTATCTGGTTTCTTCATTAGACCCCCAAGAGAACAGTTTTCTTCATTTGAAATATATAATTGCCAATTAGGGCATAGTTCTAAACTTGAAACACAGTCTTATAAAAGTAACTGTAATAACTGCTTTAACTGCAAAATTTTAGAAGAATTATAACTCTTTAAAAGAAATAAGTTCTTTACATTTAATCTCATATGATTGTTGCTATTCAAGAAAGTTATGTCTGTCGGATGCAATTTGTACATTCAATACACATGTACAAATTAGATCCAACAGTACCACTATATGTGAGGACTGTAATAGGTGCTGAGGTACAAAATCTTAATTTTTGCCTACATGGAATTATAATTTAGGCCTATTTATATAGAAGTGGTTTGTGCTGCCTCCATATGACCTATGCTTATACATAATTTATTATATTTATTATATTTATATTGATATAAATATAATTCATTTTCAGCTGACACCTAATGCCTTGTTCCCATTGATTCCCTTGTCCTTCAGTTCTAAGGGTGTTGCTAATGGCTTCTGGCTGTCTTTGGTTCTTAAGATGTTTTTCTTCTCTTTTTTTTTTTTTTGTTTGTTTGTTTGTTTTGAGACAAAGTCTTGCTCTGTCGCCCAGGCTGGAGTGCAGTGGCACAATCTCAGCTCACTGCAACCTCTGCCTCCTGGTTTCAAGCTATTCTCCTGCCTCAGCCTCTTGAGTAGCTGTGATTACAGGTGTGCGCCACCACGCGCGGCTAATTTTTTTTGTATTTTTAGTAAAGACGGGGTTTCACCATGTTGGTCAGGCTGGTCTCAAACTCCTGACCTCGTGATCTGCCTGCCTCAGCCTCCCAAAGTGCTGGGATTACAGGTGTGAGCCACCGCACCCAGCCTCTTCCCTTGTTTTTTTCCCTTAATATTGTCCACACCTCTGTAAATAGTTTTTTCTTTTTTGTTTGTTTGTTTTTTTTGAGACGGAGTCTTGCTCTGTTGCCCAGGCTGGAGTGCAGTGGCACAATCTCGGCTCACTGCAACGTCTGCCTCCTGGGTTCAAGCAATTCTCCTGCCTCAGCCTCCCAAGTAGCTGGGATTATAGGCGTGCGCCACCACACCCGGCTAATTTTTGTATTTTTAGTAGAGATGGGGTTTCACCACGTTGGCCAGGCTGGTCTCAAACTCCCGACCTCAAGTGATCCGCCCACGTGGGCCTCCCAAAGTACTGGGATTACAGGCGTGAGCCACCGCACCCGGCCTCTAAATAGTTCTATAAAACTCTCTTAATTTTAGTCCTTTTGAGTATGCCCATCTGTTTTATGCAAGGACCTTGATTAATACAATCTTTGTGAATATGTGATCTGAATGAAGGTTGATGT
Source organism: Homo sapiens (assembly GCF_000001405.40). Classification (NCBI taxonomy): domain Eukaryota; kingdom Metazoa; phylum Chordata; class Mammalia; order Primates; family Hominidae; genus Homo; species Homo sapiens. The sequence continues at coordinate 50,992,403 of NC_000001.11, forward strand.
TTGAAATACTCAGATTCTGGTTAGCTATAGATTTGTCTGAGTAAATGCATTAAAAAGCTAGCTGCTTATTTTTGAAAGTAACGCTCCCTCCACCTCCTTTATTCTTCATCTCAACATTGTTTGTTTCCATAACTTTTATCTAAAGAGTTTTGTATTAATAACTCTTATCTAAGATTTAACCTTTTTACTTGCTTTTTTTATAATCTTCTCCAGTAGATTGTAAGTTACATGAGGACAGGGACCATGTTTATTTTTTCACCATTATATTCCTTGTGACTGCCATATAGTAGATAATACATATTTGCTTGTCCACTTACTTAACAAACAATTATTAATTGAGCACCTACTATGTGCCAGGCCGTTTTAGGTTCTGGAAACAGAAAAACATGGCCCAAGTTCCTTCTCTTATGAAATGAATAAAACATTGCCTTCCAAATATAGGTCTGTGTGATATTAGTCGCCCTTACATTAAAACAAGGCATTCTATGAACAAATATATTTGGGAAATATTTACTTGAAAGTTAATTTTTTGTTGATTTTTGTCTCAGTTACTTAATAGGCACATTAGAATTTCCAGGAGGGGGTTGATATATATGCAGTGTTTTCCAAACTTTTAAATCACAAAGCCCTCTTTTCAATGAGCAAAGATTAAGACTTCAAGCCTGGCATTGTGGCTCATGCCTGTAATCCCAGCATTTTGGGAGGCCAAAGCGGGAGGATTGCTTGAGTCCAGGAGTTCAAGGTTACAGTGAGCTATGATTGTGTTACATGGTGAGACTCTGACTCAAAAAAACAAAAAAATCAAGGTAGGTCATAACTTTTTTATGGAAGGTAGGAGAATGGTTGTTGTTTTGGATTTTTTGGGTCAGGAAAAATTTGACTAAAGGTACAAATTACCTGTCAAGTCCATTCCCATTTGTTATCCTTTAATTGATTAAAATTATACAATGCCCAATAATCTTTATGAATTTAGGAACCAGTGATGACTCTTTTAAAAGATAGAAAAGAGGGAGGCCGAAGTGGGTGGATCACTTGAGGTCAAGAGTTCGAGACCAGCCTGGCCAACATGATGAAACCTCATCTCTATTAAAAATACAAAAATTAGCTGGGCATGGTGGTGGGCACCTGTAATCCCAGCTACTCGGGAGGCTGAGTCAGGAGAATTGCTTGAACCTGGGAGGCACAGGTTGCAGTGAGCAGAGATCACACAACTGCACTCCAGCCTAGGCGACAGAGCAAGATCTGTCTCAAAAAAAAAAAAACGATACAAAAGAAATTTAAACAGTTTTGCAGTTGACTCATGGGGAGATGTATAATTAATAATGGATCTTTAGTGTAATAATTTGCTCCTCAAGAGATGTGCATGACATTTAAACAGTTGGTATAATATCAAAATCATCAGTGTTCAATTCAAGGTCATACCAACATAAATTTAATCTATTTTACTGACTCATCAGTATGTACTACTGCACAAACCATATACCTTCTCAATCCCACAACTTGTGTGTTCTTTTTCCCCCAGAAGAGGTCCTAGTTACACCTCTTTTTCTTTTTAAATTTTTTTTTAGATGGTGGGCTCACTGTGTTGCCCAGGCTGGTCTCAAACTCATGGGCTCACGTGATCCCCTTGTCTCGGCCTTCCAAAGTTCTGGGATTACAGGCATCAGCCACCATGCCCAGTTTAGTTACACCTCCTAATCGCTATGTATTTGAAAAAATTTATCATCATTGAGCCTCAGTTTCTTCAACTATAAAATGAGGTAATAATAGCTACCTCACAGGATTAAGTAAGTTCATATACATAAAATTTCTCTCCTGAGTGGGAGATTACCGACAAGCCAGGGGAACAGGCTAGAATAATCCATGTGGTAGTGGACTAGAGTTGGAGATATCAGTAAGAACTCATGTTTAACTTAATATAGATACAAATGGTTACATTTATAAATATTTACAGATATGTGTATACACATGGATTAGTATACGCACATATATTTCTTTGATCTATCAGCTGAGAAGGCCTAGAAGAAATGATACGCCATTAGCAATGAGCAGACTTAGTGCCCAGATCTTGGTTTCTAATACTATTCTCTATGAAAAGGATCCAGGGCTTCTTGGAGAAATAGCTGATTCTAGGAACTGGGGCAGCAAATACACAAGATGAACCTGGATCATCTTGTAAGTAAGGAATTTTTCAAAACACCCCCCCCACACACACACACAGATGGGATATGTCAAGGGGGCACAAAAGCCCATTGAAAGAACCCATAATGACCAAAAGTGAAACAATTTGAGCAATAAAATAAATAAAGTAGCATTGGATTATACCCAAACTATAAAATAAATATCTACGAGTCCATACTAATATAAATAAATGATTGAATAAATTGATAAATTGAAGCAAATAGATACATCTCTCATACCAAAGAATTCCAAATATATTATGCAGATACTCCACCCTAAAGAAGGGGAGCCTCTCCACTCCTGAAGTGTGGGCTGCATATAGTGACTTTTCTACCAAAGAGTACAGTATGGAAAGGCAGAAAAAAAGAGACATTTTACAGTGGAAAACCCTGACAAACACTACTTTAGTTGGATGATGAAGGTCAACATCAACTGTCCTAAACCGTGTTGGTGGTATATAATCCTGCTGTGTGATAAAAATGGCACTTTACATTCGTGATCTTCCTTTAAAAAATTTATAACCCCAGTCTAATCATGAGAAAAACATTAGACAAATTCTAATAGAGAGGCATCCTACAATATAACCTGACCAGTACTCTTCAAAACTGCCAAGGTCATCAAAAACAAAGTCGGAGAAAATGTCACAGCCAACAGGGGCCTACGGAGACAATAGAACTAGATGTAATGTGGGATCCTGGATGGGATTATGGAACAGAAAAAGGACATTAGGTAAAGCTTAAGAAAACATGAATAAACTGTGGACTTTAGTTAATAATAATGTATCTTTTGGTTTATTAATTATAACAATGTACCATACTATAATGAAAGATGTTAATAATAGGGGAAGCTGTATGGATCGGGTCAGGGATATAAGGGAACTCTCTGTACTTACTATCTGCTCAATTTTTCTGTAAATCTAAAACTGTCCCAAATAATAAACTTGATTAATTTTTTAAAAGCCTCTCATGATGCCTGGTATGTGAAAGCTGATAATCATTGTTATCATCATTATCATTATTAATAATATAACCTATGTTTTTCTAATTTATACTAGTTTATGGTCATAAATATAATCTTAACTTATAATAATCATCCTTGTTTCAATGGAAGCCACTGTGGCATAGAGAAGAAGCATGTGAGCTTTAGAGAAAAGCACACAGATTAAAAGCCTGGCCCTGAATCTTTACAAGCTTTGTGACCTTAGGCAAGTTGTACTTTACCTCTCTAATTCCCTCATTTTAAGGATGGGGCTAAAAATAGCAGCTACAATGACTGTATAAGGTTACTGATAGAATGACATGTAGTAAGGTAAACATTCTTTCATTCATTCTATTCATTTTTATCGAGTGCCTACTGTGAAGAGAACCAAGAAAGAAAAGGGCTTTTTTTTTGATGGAGGGAAGACAGAAAATAGTAGGAGTTCAGTTTTAGACCTGTTGAATTTGAGATGCTTATTAGATCTCCAAGTGATAAAGTCAAATAAATGGTTATATATAAGTGTCTCGAACGCTGAGAAGAGGTTAAACCTGGAGATAAAATTTAGCTTTACGGTTTTGGGACTGGGTAAGTTAACCTGGGGAACATGCCAACAATTAGAGCTCAAGTATCAGAAGAATCAGGAAAAAATAAATAAATGGCTGAAGAAAAAGAACCAGAGAGGTGAGGAGAAAAATCAGGAGACAATGATGTCATAGACATAAGAAAGAAAAGTTCAAGAAGAAAAGTGTTGAAGACTGCAAAGAGGTCAAGTAGAATGAGGAAAGATTGTATTTGGTAATACTAAGGTTGTTGGTGACACTGGCAAGAGTAGTCTCAGTTACATATGAAGTAATAAGGGCAGAAGCCAAAATGAAGTGGGTTGAAGAGTAAATGGGAGATGAGGAAGAATGGACAGTGAGTGCAGAAAAGCTTGAGAATTTTGCTGTGAAAAGGAGCAAAGAAATGAGGTGATAGGTGAAGGTGAATTTAGTGTCAAAGGAAGGTTTCTAAATATAAGATACTAGAGTATGTTTGTAGGAGTAGAATGATCCTATGAAAAGTAAGAAATCTAGTGTACAGCTGGGTACTTAAAGAGGTTTTTTTAGGTATTATTATTACTATGATTATTATTATTGGATCTCCAATCTCCCACCTCCAAAATCTCACCCAGCTATGTCTGAAAGTCTGAGCATATCTCATGTGAGGTCATGAATAGTCCCTCTTCTACCATCTGTCATGTAGTACTCTTCTGCTAGACTCCCTTCAGTGAAATCTCCTGACTTCCCACTGCCTGTAGTATTACTTAACGATGCCTCTGCACTGCCACTGGCCCTGATGCCTAGCATCTTGAATATTCTGATGTTCATTCCAAAGGCATTATCTCCTGATGCCCCCAAAGCTGATAGAAATCCTTTAGGTGCCAAAATAGTATAAACTTCTTCAAGTTCTCAGTGGGCAATATTTGGGGCAGAAGAGGTGAGAATGCCCTTCTCCCTCACTTTATATACCTGGGAACCAAGCAAAGCCAATTGTGACTTATGGTCTCCCAGAGTAATTTCTAAAAATAGCCATTTGGGGAAATCAGACAAGAGAACAAATTAAAGGGCATCCAAATTGGAAAAGAAGAAGTCAAATTATCATTGTTTGTAGATGATATTTTCTGATATTTGGAAAAATCTAAAGACTCCACAAGAAACAATTAGAACTGATAAACAAATTCAGAAAAGTTGCAGGATACAAAATCAACATACAAAAATTGGTAGTGTTTTTATATGCTAACAGTGAACAATCTAAAAAAGAAATTAAAAAGTAATCCCATTTACAGGCCGGGCGCAGTGGCTCACGCCTGTAATCCCAGCACTTTGGGAGGCCGAGGCAGGTGGATCATGAGGTCAGGTGTTCAAGACCAGCCTGGCCAACACAGTGAAACCCCGTCTCTACTAAAAATACAAAAAATTAGCCGGGCATGGTGGTGGGTGCCTGTGATCCCAGCTACTTGGGAGGCTGAGGCAGGAGAATCGCTTGAAACTAGAAGGTGGAGGTTGCAGTAAGCCAAGATCGTGCCACTGCATTCCAGCCTGGGTGACAGTGCAAGACTCCATCTCAAAAAAAAAAAAAAGAAAAAAGTAATCCCATTTACAATAGCCACAAATAAAATTAAATACCTAGGAATTAACTTAAAAAAGGAAAAGATCTCTATAAGGAAAACTATAAATCACTGATGAGAGAAATTGAAGAGAACATCAAAAAATGTTAATGGAGTGGAAGAATCAATGTTAAAATGTCCATACTACCCAAAGAAAGCTACAGATTCAATGCAATCCCTATCTAAATACCAATAACATTCTTCACAGAAATGGAAAAAAAAATCCTAAAATTTATATAGAACAACAAAGACCCAGAATAGCAAATCTTAGGATAAAGCAAAAAGAACAAAACTGGAGGAATCACATTACCTGACTTAAAATTATACCACAGAAATATAGTAATCAAAACAACACGGTACGGGCAGAAAAACAGACACAATAGACCAATGGAACAGAATAGAGAACCCAGAAATATATTCACACACCTACAGTGAACTCATTTTTGACAAAGGTGCTAAGAACATACATTGGTGAAAGGACAATCTCTTAAATAAATGGTGCTGGGAAAATTGGACCTCTATCTGCAGAGAATAAAACTAGACCCCTATCTCTCACGATATACAAAACTCAAATGAAAATGAATTAGAGACTTAAATCTAAGACCTCGAACTATGAAACTACTAAAAGAAAAGTTGGGGGAACTCTCCAAGACATTGGTCTGAGCAAAGTATTTCTTGAGTAATACCCAAAAAGCACAGGCAGCCAAAGCAAAAATGGACAAATGGGACCACATCACATGAAAAAGCTTCTGCACACCAAAGGGAACAATCAACAAAGTGAAGAGACAACCCAAAGAATGGGAGAAAATATTTGCAAACTATCCATCTGACAAGGGGATTAATAACTGGAATATATAAGGAGCTCAAACAACTCTATAGGAAAAAAATTTAATAATCCAATTAAAAATGGACAAAATAGTTGAATAGCCAGGTGCGCGGTGGCTCACGACTGTAATCCCAGCACTTGGGAGGCCGAGGCGGATGGATCATGAGGTCAGGAGTTCAAGATCAGCCTGGCCAAGATGGTGAAACCCTGTCTCTACTAAAAATACAAAAAAATTTAGCCAGGCATAGTGGTGGGTGCCTGTAATCCCAGCTACTCAGGAGGCTGAGGCAGAGAATTGCTTAAACCCGGGAGGGGAGGATGCAGTGAGCCGAGATTGCGCCACTGCACTCTAGCCTGGGTGACAGAGTGAAACTCCATCTCAAAAAAAAAAAAAAAAGTTGAATAGACATTTCTCAAGAGAAGACATACAGGCCAGGCACGGTGGCTCGTGCCTGTAATCCCAGCACTTTGGGAGGCCGAGGCGGGTGGATCACCTGATGTCAGGAGTTTGAGACCAGCCTGGCCAAAATGGCGAAACCCCATCTCTACCAAAAAAAAAATTAGCCAGGCGTGGTGTCACGCACCTGTAATCCCAGCTACTCTGGAGGCTGAGGCAGGAGACTCCCTTGAACCTGGGAGGCAGAGGTTGCAATGAGCTGAGATCATGCCATTGCACTCCAGCCTGGGTGACAGAGCGAGACTCTGTCTTAAAAAAAAACAAAAAAGACGTACAAACAGGCATAGATGCTCAACATCCCTGATCGTCAGAGAAATGCAAATCAAAACTGTAACGAGATATCATTTCACCTCAGTTAAAATGGCTTATATCTAAAAGACAGGCAATAACAAATGCTGGTGATGATGTGGAGAAAAGGGAATCCTTGTACATTGTTGGTGAGAATGTAAATTAGTGAAACGAAAATAGAGAACAGTTTGGAGGTTCCTCAAAAAGCTAAAAATAGAACTATCACATGATCCAGATTTGGAAGCAACCTAAGTGTCCATCAACAGATGAATGGATAAAGAAAATGTGGTACTTATACATAATGGAGTACTATTCAGCCATAAAAAAGAATGAGATCCTGTCATTTGCAACAACAACATGGATGGAACCAAAGGTCATTATGTTAAGTGAAATAAGCCCAGCACAGAAAGATAAACATCACATGTTCTCACTTACAGGTAAGATCTAAAAATCAAAACAATTGAACTCATGGAGACAGAGAGTAGAAGCATGGTTACCAGAGGCTGGGAAGGGTAGCGGGGGTTGGAGGGAAGTGGGGATGGTTAATGGGTACAAAAAAAATAGAAAGAATAAATAAGACCTAGTATTTGATAGCACAACAGGGTGACTATAGTCAATAATAATTTTATTGTACATTTAAAAATAACTAAAATAATATAATTGGATTGCTTGTAACACAAAGGATAAATACTTGAGGAAATGGATAACCCATCTTCTATATGCATTGCATGCCTGTATCAAAACATCTCATGTACTTCGTAAATATACACAGCTACTATGTACCCATAAAAATTAAAAATTAAAAGTTAAAAAATAAAAATAGCCTATTCGGTTTCTAGATTGGAGTACTGGTCCCTAAGGGGCTCAAACTTAAGTTCATTAGGGGGGGCCCATTCTTTAGGACTCCCATGCTACCTTCCCAATTGTTACATTCACTTAAAAACAATTTTTTAAAACAGGGTCTTGCTATGTTGCCCATGCTAGACTCAAACTCCTGGCGCAAGAGATCATCCTGCCTCAGCCTCCCAAGTAGCTGGGGTTACAGGCATGCAACCACAGCACCTGGTGTCACCCTGCTATTTTTATGACCTCTTCCTCCTCTCCAAACTTCATGCAAATCAATTCATGCAAATTCCTAGTTGGCCTAATACACTGGTCTTTTAAGTCTAAATACCAGAAATAGGGATATAGCTTAGACTAAAACTAGAAACCTACCTAGAGTCAGTGGTGTGCCAAGGATTGGGTGGTGGGAGTAGTCTGCTCTGAATGAATGCATTAAGGAGGTAAGCTAAGTGTAGAGAATTTGAAAGTAGTAATAAAACTGACTGAAGATAGATCTACTTTTTACTATCACCATGCACCAGCAATTTTAAACTATGTCAGTGATAAAATACCCTCTCCTCAAAATGTTTTGTTGGTCTAAGTTCTAGACAATTGTGCAGTTACACTATGAGTTTTAACAATATATACGTTTCCAATTAGCACATTTTTAATTACTTAAACAACATATTCTACATGGAAGTCTATTCAGAGTCAGCCTGTGACACAATCATACTCAGCTGCACATTTGTTTTGAGTAAGTTCATAATGGTTCAGAATTGCTTGAGCTCACTGCAGATGCTGTTCTTGTCTCTAACCCCTGCATTTAAACAGTAAACTTGGTATAAATAATGATACTAGATTGTAAAGATGAAGAAACAACATGAGTTACTTTAATTCTGTTATTTTACATGACTACGTGGAGTTATCTGTGTTTAACAGCTAAAATTTAAAACACAGAAACATTTGAAAGCCACTCAACCCTGAAGAAACAGACATATAATTTTTAAACTTCATTGTGAGAGGGGATTGCTATGAATCTCTGCCACAAACGTTCTTTTTGTTTAAGACGTCCTATTTGTAGATAGGATACTTCAATTGAAGAAAACTTTTCAAAATTAAAATTAATAAAAAGTTCTTCCATCAACAGTAAGTGAAGACAGATTGACAAATCTGGCTATACTGTCTATTGAATATGAGTATGTGAAGATTAACTTTGATGAAGTCATTGACAAATATATAGAAATTAAGGCTCAAAAAAAAGTCATTTGTTACTGCAACAGACCAATATGTAAGTTATGTAAATATAAGTTTCTTTCCCACTTACTTTTTTTTTTTTTTTTTTTGACACAGGGTCTCACTCTGTTGCAGGTGCTGGAGTGCAAGTGGCATGATTTTGGCTAACTGCAACCTTGACCTCCCAGGCTCAAGGAATTCTCCCACTTCACCCTCCGGAGTAACTGGGACTACAGGTGTGTGCCATTATGCCTGGCTAATTTTTGTATTTTTTGTAGAGGCAGGGTTCCCAAGGATGGTCTCCAACTTCCGGGCTCACGGGATCCGCCTGCCTCAGCCTTCCAAAGTGCTCAGATTACAGGTGTGAGCCACCGCACCCAGCCTTTCTTTCCCATTTAAAAACTAAATTAATTAAAAAGTATTAATTTGTTATTTTTTCATTATTTCGTACTTTAATATTTATTTTTCTCTTTTGAACAAAAGAAGATTTTCACTGTTTCTGTTTATTTTCTGGCCATTATGATTATTCATTTCATTTTCTGATTTTTATTTTAGATAATCTTGTCATCTAGAGGAGAAATGTGTTAACAAAATTATCCAATCCTGGTGTCAAACATACTACGTATACCACTACTTATAGTAATAACAATTTAATATTTTTACAATGACATTTGAAGTGTTCTTATTTCCTGAACAATCTATATCTGAATTCATGGGACTTATTTTTTATATTTCATTCTGAATCATTCACCAATTTTTGTATCTTACAAATAAGAATTATCTTTTCTCTCTCAAATAGATTGTAAATTCCTCAAGGTCAGTTCATGTAATAGAAAATCAATAAATAAAAATGTAATAAATATTCCCACTGCATCTTAACCAAAAACTAAATTTGATTTTGAGAAAGAAAAAGGCTAACCGCTGAAATATATCGATTCCAAATTTAGCTGCTCTTGTACTAAGGCAACTTCATTCCTTTTTTTTTTTTTTTTTGAGACAGCGTTTTGCCCTGTCTCCCAGGCTGGAGTGCGGTGGCATGATCTTGGCTCACTGCAAGCTCTGTCCCCCTGGCTCAAGCGATTCTCCTCCCTCAGCCTCATAAATAGCTGGGACTACAGGCATGCACAACCACGCTTGGCTAATTTTTGTATTTTTGGTAGTGACGGGGTTTCACCATCGTCTTGAACTCCGGCCTCAAGTGATCCTCCCGCCTCGGCCTCCCAGGGTGCTGAGATTACAGGCATGCGTCACCACTCATGGCCTAGGCAACCTCATTCCTAATTGAGAATAATTATTATAACAATGACATGTCTCCCTCTGTAGCAGATGTCTCTGGCACTCATGTTACATATTCACAGGCCATCTCTTGATTTCAGCCACATCTGTGTTAGTCCATTCCAGTTCACCTCACATTGCCATTTCCTCCTCCAGTGAGCCTGCATTCTGCCTTAGGGCCCTCTCCAGACATCATGGAAGCATGCTCAGCCCATTCGGCAAGCACAGTCCAGAGTGAGAGGAAGAGAGGGGAGGGAGAAAAGTTATAGATCTGAGGTGACAGACGGTATGAATAGTTCTCTATGAGAGTGGTAGAGTAATATAGTACAATTTCTGAAAAGCATTAATGGCCCACTTGAGACTAGTGGTGATAAATTTAAAGTGAGAGTGGCCATATTGTTATGTTCCTCTCCAGTCACATTTAGCTATGTGAGAATAATGGTAGAGAGTGTAATTTAACTAGTCTTGCCAAAGTGAGAGGAATGCAAGGCAGGTTGTGTGGCCCTCCACACAATTATAATCATTAACCATAGAGTTTAAAGTAGGTAAGAATGGTGTGAGGTCATAAGTGGAATGAAGGACAAGTAAAAGGTCATAGGAGCAATAGGGTCTAAGTCTCAGGTGACTTTGAGAATTATTAAAGTCAGGAGCTTAAAGGGAGTGAGTGGAAAGACAGGAGATGATGGTTAGAGACTGACATGCATGAAATTGATTAGGGAAATTAGAGAAAGGTTATAGTTTATAGGTAAGACAAGATCTAGGCTGTTAATATGGTAGTGAGTAGCAGAGGTAGGTGGGAAAAGGGGTCAGGTAATGAAATATGCATAGTCTAATGGAGGTTATATCTGGGGTAAGAGGGGTGACCTGTGAACTGACTTTTTGTAGTGATTGATATAACAGAGATAAATGGCAAGACAAGATTACTCCTGAAGGTCCCAAAGAAGATTTTGATAGTAAAGTAGTAATTAGTGCAAGAGAAAGTCTTGCTAAGCTGAGAGTTTTGGGCCACACCTTGACTTCTAGTGGAGGCACTGAGGTATAACAAAACTTAGCATTTATTGAATGCTAAGGTGCTATACTCAGAATAAGTATAAGAAAATCTTGTTGTCAACTTATTGAGGTCTGGCTTCAGTTTCTATCCCTGTCCTAGAAAGGTGCCGGAGAGCCAGATTGGGTCTTCTTGAGAGGGACAAGGCAGATGGGTGGACTGCCAGAAACTGTTATTTTTTATTTTTTAACTAAGGAAGATTTTTTTTTAAATAATGTTGGGTGGAGTTGTAATTAATATGCTGGAATAGGCATTGAGAACAGAGAAATACCCAGGGAACTTAAAAGAGGGGGTCTACAAAAAAGCCCACAAAAGTGCTCTATTAAAGTTAGAGCCACTGATTGTGCAACTGCCACAAAGAGCACCCTGGAGGCAGATTATAACTGCATCAGTCAAGTGAGATTTTTCTGCCCCTTACCTCCTCCCTCTCCCTTGTTCTAATCCAAAATACAGTCTTGTGAATGGGGGAGTAGGAGTGGAAGCACAAAGTGGTGAAGTAAAAAAGAAGTCAATTATGTCACTCTCCCCAACTAAGGCTGTTACATCTAAAGCAGGCCAAACTGTGTACAGGATAAGTTTAAATTGTATGAGAGTTTGAAGTAGGAGAGTTTGGACTGGACTTTTTTTATTTTAAAAAAGAGACTTCATTTGATTAACTGGTAGGTTTTTTGTTTATTTTTTTTGTTTTTTAATTACTAAAAGTGACCAACAAAGCTGTGAAGCTTGCCTGAGATGTCATCCAGGAATGGAGATAAAAAAGTTGAGAGAGTAGGCTTGAAGAAATCAGTGAGAAAGAACAAAATTACTTTGTGCTAGTACTGTACCAGGTCCAGCTTGTTCAATGAAAAGGTTACAATTATAAGGAGAAAAATGGTAAGTGTCACAGGAAAAGAAGAGGAAAAGTTCTAGCAGGGTTGAATGAAAAACAGAATCTAAGAAGTAAACTGGAAAAAGCACTATTTGAGCAGGACCTGAAAATAACATTGTTTACTTCAGAGGAGGGAAATGGATTGGGAGAGTGGATAGAATTTAAAGGAGAGAAGGAAAGACTACTAACTTACAAGATTTGTAGGTTTGGGTTTCCTAGAAAACAAATCCTGAGGCAAAGCTGAATTGTTTATGTAAGAGTGAGGGAAAAAGGGAATTGAGACAGGAAAAAATTGGGAGCAAATTTAATGTGGTTCATTACTAAACTGGCCATTACTTCTCAAAGTTACATAACCAGAAACTTACCCATGCAGGACATCTTTGGGCAGGTTATAAAGAAACACCATGTGGAGGTGGCTGGTAAGATGGCCAAATAGGAACAGCTCTGGTCTGCAGCTCCCAGCAAGATCAACACAGAAGGAGTGTGATTTCTGCATTTCCAACTGAGGTACCTGGCTCATCTCACTGAGACTGGTTAGACAGTGGGTGCAGCCCACAGAGGGTAAGCCAAAGCAGGGTGGGGCGTCGTCTTACCTGGAAAGCACCAGGGGTCGGGGAGCTCTCTCCCCTAGCCAAGGGAAGCCGTGAGGGATTGGGCACTTTGGCCCAGATACTACGATTTTTTCACGGTCTTCACAGCCCACAGATCAGAAGATTCCCTCAGGTGCCTACACTACCAGGGCCCTGGGTTTCAAGCACAAAACTGGGCAGCCATTTGGGCAGACACCGAGCTAGCTGCAGGAATTTTTTTCCATACTCCAGTGGTGCCTGGAACCCCAGCGAGACAGAACCATTTACTCCCCTGGAAAGGGGGCTGAAGCCAGGGAGCCAAGTGGTCTAGTTCAGTGGATCCCACCCCCACAGAGCCCTGCAAGCTAAGATCCACTGGCTTGAAATTCTTGCTGCCAGCACAGTGGTCTGAAGTTGACCTGGAATGCTTGAGCTTGGTGGGGGGAGGGACGCCCACCATTACTGAGGATTGAGTAGGTGATTTTCCCCTCACAGTGTAAACAAAGCCACTTGGAAGTTTGAACTGGGCAGAGCCCACTGCAGCTCAGTAAAGCCGCTGTAGCCAGACTGCCTCTCTAGATTCCTGCTCTCTGGGCAAGGCCTCTCTGAAAGAAAGGCAGCAGTCCCAGTCAGGGGCTTATAGATAAAACTCCTATCTCCCTGGAACAGAGCACCTGGGGGAAGGGGTGGCTGTGGGCGCAGCTTCAGCAGACTTAAACATTCCTGCCTGCTGGCTCTGAAGAGAGCAGAGGATCTCCCAGCACAGCACTCAAGCTTTGCCAAGGGACAGACTGCCTCCTCAAGTGGGTCCCTGAACCCCGTGCCTCCCGACTGGGAGACACCACATAGTGGGAGTCGACAGACGCCTCATACAGGAGAGCTCCGACTGGCATCTGGCGGGTGCCCCTCTGACGAAGCTTCCAGAGGAAGGAACAGACAGCAATCTTTGCTGTTCTGGAGGCTCTGCTGGTGATACCCAGGAAAACAGTGTCTGGAGTGGACCTCCAGCAAACTGCAGCATACCTGCAGCAGAGGGGCCTGACTGTTAGAAGGAAAACTAACAAACAGAAAGGAATAGCATCAACATCAACAAAAATGACATCCACACAAAAACCCCATCTGAAGGTAACCAACATCAAAGACCAAAGGTAGATAAATCCACGAAAATTGAGGAAAAGCCAGCACAAGAAGGCTGAAAATTCCAAAAACCAGAATGCGTCTTCTCCTCCAAAGGATCACAACTCCTCGCCAGCAAGGGAACAAAACTGGACAGAGAATGAGTTTGACAAATTGACAGAAGTAGGCTTCAGAAGGTGGGAAATAACAAACTCCTCCGAGCTAAAGGAGCATGTTCTAATCCAATGCAAGGAAGCTAAGAACCTTGAAAAAAGGTTAGAGGAATTGCTAACTAGAATAACCAGTTTAGAGAAGAACATAAATGACTTGATGGAGCTGAAAAACACAGCACAAGAATTTTGTGAAGCATACACAAGTATCAATAGCCGAATCAATCAAGCAGAAGAAAGGATATCAGAGATTGAAGATCAACTTAATGAAATAAAGCCTGAGGACAAGATTAGAGGAAAAAGAAGGAAAAGGAATGAACAAACCTCCAATAAATATGGGACTATGTGGAAAGACCAAACCTACGTTTGATTGGTGTACCTGAAAGTGACGGGAAGAATGGAATCAAGTTGGAAAACACTCTTCAGGGTATTATCCGGGAGAACTTCCCTAGCCTAGCAAGACAGGCCAACATTCAAATTCAGGAAATAGAGAGAACACCACAAAGATACTCCTTGAGAAGAGCAACCCCAAGACACATAATCATCAGATTCACCAAGGTTGAAATGAAGGAAAAAATGTTAAGGGCAGCCAGAGAAAAAGCTCGGGTTACCCACAAAGGGAAGCCCATCAGACTAACAGTGGATCTCTCTGCAGAAACCCTACAACCCAGAGATAGTGGGGGGCAATATTCAACATTCTTAAAGAAAAGAATTTTCAACCCAGAATTTCATATCCAGCCAAATTAAGCTTCATAAGCAAAGGAGAAATAAAATCCTTTACAGACAAGCAAATGCTGAGAGATTTTATCACCACCAGGCCTGCCTTACAAGAGCTCCTGAAGGAAGCACTAAATATAGAAAGGAAAAATGGGTACCAACCACTGCAAAAACATACCAAATTGTAAAGACCATTGACAGTATGAAGAAACTGCATCAACTAATGGCCAAAATACCAGCTAGCATCATAATGACAGGATCAGATTCACACATAACAATATTAACCTTAAATGTAAACAGGCTAAATGCCCCAATTAAAAGATACAGACTGGCAAGTTGGATAAAGAGTCAAGACCTATCAGTGTGCTGTATTCAGGAGACCCATCTCACGTGCAAAGACACACATAGGCTCAAAATAAAGGGATGGAGGAATATTTACAAAGCAAATGGAAAGCAAAAAAAAAAAAAAAAACGGGTTGCAATCCTAGTCTCTGATAAAACAGACTTTAAACCAACAAAAATCAAAAAAGACAAAGAAGGGCATTACATAATGGTGAAGGGATCAATGCAATAAGAAGAGCTAACTATCCTAAATATATATGCACCCAATACAGGAGCACCCAGATTCATAAAGCAAGTTCTTAGAGACCTACAAAGAGACTTAGACTCCCACACAATAACAGTGGGAGACTTTAACACCCCACTGTCAATATTAGACAGATCAACAAGAGAGAAAATTAACAAGGATATTCAGGACTTCAACTCAGCTCTGGACCAGGTGGACCTAATAGACATCTACAGATCTCTCCACCCCAAATCAACAGAATATACATTCTTCTCAGCACCACATGGCACTTATTCTAAAATTGACCACATAATTGTAAGTAAAAAACTCCTCAGCAAATGCAAAAGAACAGAAATCATAACAAACAGTCTCTCAGACCAAGTGCAATCAAATTAGAACTCAGAATTAAGAAACTCACTGAAAACTACACAACTACATGGAAACTGAATAAACCTGCTCCTGAGTTTATTCAAGACTACTGGGTAAATAATGAAATTAAGGCAGAAATAAATAAGTTCTTTGAAACAAATGAGAACAAAGACACAACGTACCAGAATCTCTGGGACACAGCTAAAGCAGTGTCTAGAGGGAAATGTATAGCACTAAATGCCCACAGGAGGAAGCGGGAAAGATCTAAAATCGAGACCCTAATATCATAATTAAAAGAACTAGAGAAGCAAGAACAAACAAATTCAAAAGCTAGCAGAAGACAAGAAATAACTAAGATCAGAGCAGAACTGAAGGAGATAGAGACACGAAAAACCCTTCAAAAAATCAGTGAATCCAGGAGCTGGTTTTTTGAAAAGATTAACAAAATAGCCAGACCACTAGCCAGACTAATAAAAAAGAAAAGAGAGAAGAATCGAATAGACACACTGGCCATTGATGCAGCCACTGGGGCAAAGCAAGCAGCTGATGGTCAGGAAGACTAGTGAAGAATCTGAAGCAATTCATAAAGTGTCCAGGTATACTCCAAAATCTACATCTGTGGTCCAGATATTAGCACTTGGATAGGCCACAGGTGTCTCAATCTCAACATCTCCCAAAATATTTTTAACCTTTTTTATTATGATGTATTACATACTGACAGAAAAGTAACAAAAAATTCACAGAGGGGGAGGAGATATTTGTAATACATAAAACTTAAAAAAGACCCATTCTAGAAGAATATGTAAAAAGCTCCTTCAAATCAATAAACAGTAAACAACCTAGTAGAAAAAAGAGGCAAAAACTTAACATATATTTCATAAAAAGAGAAATGCAAATGCCCAATAAATATATGACAACAGCTCTACTTAATTAGTAATATGGAAAATTCACTTTAAGTCACAATAATTCATCTTGTAGATAGGATAGAGTAGGAAAGATACATGAATATTCTGCTGCAACAACTAGAAAAAAAGATAAAGCCGGGCACAGTGGCTCACGCCTGTAATCCCAGCACTCTGGGAGGCCAAGGCAGGTGGATCACTTGAGGCCAGGAGTTCAAGACCAGTCTGGTCAACATGGTGAAACTCTATCTCTACTAAAAATACAAAAATTAGCCAGGCATAGTGGCATGCCCCTGTAATCCCAGCTACTTGGGAGGCTGAGGCAGGAGAATCGCTTGAACCCAGGAGGTGGAGGTTGCAGTGAGCTGAGATTGTGCCACTGCACTTCAGCCTGAGAGATAGAGTGAGACTCTGTCTCAAAGGAAAAAAAAAGAAAAGAAAAAGAAAGAAAGATCACAAAAATCATTTTTCAATACATCAGTGTTCATTTAGATGAATTAAAATTTCAGCAGGAAGAGTTTTTTTGCTAGATAAGCTGGCAATGACTTTTCCTTTCTCATACTGTCTTATTCTAGGCACAGACTGAGGAATTGCGCTTGGCCTAATAAGAATGATTCCCCTGGGGGAAAGAAACAGAAGAGCATTTGACAACTACATGGGCTGGCATAATGGATTGGAATTTAAAGGTGCTACAAATGTGCCACCAGTTTATCACATGGGACATTTTCTCACCGAGTGAAGCAGGAAGCTGGTGGGCCTAGGCCAGGAAGGCAGAGTGAAATTTCATGACGCTTAGAAGACAAAGAGCCTTGCTAAAATTAAGTGAATGGTCCTGCAACAAATACACAACAGGTCTCCCTTCTTAAGAAATCCACCAGATTGTGAAACTGCATGGGGAGAGAAGCACGAAAGGATTAAGTTTAAAACTCCAAAGCACAGAAAAATGCTGAGGAGACAGGGACTCACGAGGCTTTCAATCAGAAGCCTGAAATGGTCACACTTGAGCATGTTGCTGGCTGGAAAGGCAGAGTAAAATGTCTTGTGATTTCATGGTGTTCAAATCTCTGAAGGACAGATGACTCTCCATTGGTATTTCAGGCTTTCCCTACAGTAGGCAAGTACTTTGGACCTACCAGTCTTTCAACAAAAAGCTCAGAAGGGTCACCTCTAAGGAACAGGTATAAATCAGAGGTGAACTAAGTTTCATTAAAACTATACCTCAGCTCCAACCTAGCTCAATTCCAGATTGGATGTGGTGATTTTCACCTTACCACATCTAGTTAACAAGGAAAAGTTTGCACCATCTCTGGGGGAAAATAGTATCACCTGTACTTTCTACTATACACAATATATGCATATAGTTAAAATTATAACGCATATAGGAGGAAGAAAAAGGATATCAATAATCAAGATAAAAAACAAACAGAGCCAAATCCACCCATGATCTATATGGTGGAATTAGCAGACAAATATTTTAATTTAATTTAATTTTTTTTTTTTTAGAGATGGGGTTTTGCCATGTTGGCCAAGCTGGTCTCAAACTCCTGGCCCCAAGTGACCAGCCTGCCTTGGCCTCCCAAAGTGTTGGGATTTACAGGAGTGAGCCACCATTCCTGGCCCCAAAAAATTAAAAATCACTATTACAAATTTTAAAAAAATAATTGAAGAAGAGATATAAAAGTAAGTGAAAAAGTAGAGTGAAAATGTCTAGTCAATTAAAATTTATTTAAAAGAATCAAATGAACAATCCAGAAATGAAATAATAAACTAATCAAATGGGTTTAAGGACATATTAGAAAGACTAGTGAACACAAAAACAGGTCCAATAAAAATATTCAAACTGAACATAGAAAGAAAGAAAGAATAAGAAAAACAACAGTAATAAAAGACATGCAGGACAGATTCAAATCGCCTAACATATATATAATTGGAATTTTGAATGCAGAAGAGAAAGAGAATGGGGCTGAAGCAATATTTAAAGAAATAATGGCCAAGGATTTTCTTAAATTGATTTAAAAAATGTATCAGGCCAGGTGCAGTGGCTCACGCATATAATCCCAGAACTTTTGGAAGCCAGTGCAGGTGGATTGCTTGAACTCTGGAGTTTGAGACCAGTCTTGGCAACATGGTGAAACCCCATTTCTACTAAAAAATACCAAAAAAAACTAGCTGGACGTGGTGGTGTGCACCTGTGGTCCCAGATACTCGCAAGGCTGAGGTGGGAGGATTATCTGAGCCCAGGAAGTTAAGGCTGCAGTGAACCATAATTGCACCACTGAACCCAGCTTGGACAACAGAGTGAGACCCTGTCTCAAAAAATACATGTATATTAAATAAAATACATATTCAAGAGGTTCAGGATAAATGCAAAGATTACCATGCCCAGATACAATTTGGTAAAACTTCTGAAATCAGAGATAAAAAACTAAAATATTAAAATCAGCTAGAAAAAAATGAAGCATTATCTTTAAAAGAGCAACAATGAGATTTCCAACTGACTTTTCAGCAGAAGCAACAAAGAATATGGAATGACATCATTCACTTGCTAAAAGAAAAAAATTCCCAACCTAGAATTCTATACCAAGAAAAAGTTTTCTTCAAAATAATGTGAGATAGGTTGGGCACGGTGGCTCATGCCTGTAATCCCAGCACTTTGGGAGGCCGAGGCGGGCGGATCACTTGAGGCCGAGAGTTCAAGACCAGCCTGGCCAACATGGTGCAACCCTGTCTTCACTAAAAATACAAAAATTAGCTGGGTATGGTGGTGCATGCCTGTAATTACTCCCAGCTACTTGGGAGGCCAAGGCAGGAGAATCGCTTGAATCTGGGGGGCAGAGGTTGCAGTGAGCTGAGATAGCACCACTACACTCCAGCCTGGGCGACACAGTGAGACTGTGTATCATAAAAAAAAAACCAACTTTGGACCAAAGGAAAAAACAAAACCCAGAAAACAAAAACTAAGTGAATTTATTTCTAGAAAATCCACACAGTAATAAATTCTAGAAGAAGTTCTTTAGGCTGAAGGAAAATGATCCCAGTTGAAGTACAGAGCTGCGGGAGAAATGAAAAATAACAGAGTGGTAAATATGTGAGTCAGTATAAAAGTAACCAGATTTTTTAAAAAGCGACAATAATACAGATGGTTCCCAACTTGCAATGGTCCGACTTAAGAGTTTTCAACTCTACAATGGTGCAAAAGCAATAACATTCAGTAGAAATCATACTTTGAGTACCCATACAACCATTCTGTTTTTCATTTTCAGTATCATATTTGGTAAGTTACATGAGATATTCAACACTTTGTTATAAAGTAGGCTTTGTGTTAATTTTGCCCATGTAGGCTAAGGTAAGTGTCCCGAGCATACTGAAGGTAGGCTACTCTAAGCTATGATGCCAGGTAGATTAGGTTATTAAATGCTTTTTTTTTTTTTTTTTGAGATGGAGTCTCGCTCTGTCGCCCAGGCTGGAGTGCAATGGCACGATCTCGGCTCACTGCAAGCTCCGCCTCTCGGGTTCACGCCATTCTCCTGCCTCAGCCTCCCAAGTAGCTGGGACTACAGGCGCCCGCCACTGCGCCCAGCTAATTTTTTGTATTTTTAGTAGAGACGGGGTTTCACCATGTTAGCCAGGATGGTCTTGATCTCCCGACCTCGTGATCCACCTGCCTCGGCCTCCCAAGGTGCTGGGATTACAGGCGTGAGCCACCGCGCCCGGCCGATTAAATGCTTTTTTAAAAAAAAAAAAATATTGAGACAGGGTCTTGCTCTGTTGCCCAGGCTGGAGTGCAGTGGCAAGAACAGGACTCACTGCAGCCTCAGCTTCCTAGGCTCAAGTAATCCTCCCGCCTCAGCCTCCTGAGTAACTAGGACCACACGTGCATGCTACCACATCTGGCTAATTTTTTTTTTTTTAATTTTTGTAGAGGTGGAGTCTCCCCAGATTTCCCAGGCTGGGTTTTAACTCCTGGACTCAGGCGATCCTCCCGCCTCAGCCTTCCAAAATACTGGGATTATAGGCGTGAGCCACTGGGTTCGGCCCTAAATGTATTTTTGACTTATGATATCTTCAATTTAGAATGGATTTATCTGAACATAACCCCATCATAAGTTGAGGAGCATCTATGGTGTCTTGTGAGGTTTATTCCATATATAGAAATAAAATATATGACAACACTACAAAAGTTTGAAGGGGGATAAAAGGAATTAAACTGTTGTAAGATTTCTCTATTGTTGTAGAAGTACTGATGTATTTTTACCGTATTTACTGCCTTATTGATTAGTGAGTATAATGAGTCAAATATAAAGAGGTCTCGAGAGTATTGTGTAATCTGATAGCTAGTAGCCACATGTCACTATGGAGCACCTGATGTGACTAGCTCAAATTGAGATGCAATGTAAGAATAAAACATCCACCATATTTGGAAGCTGTAGTATGAAAGAATGTAAAATATCTCATAACAATTTTTTATATTAAATATGTCTTGAAATGATAGTATGTTGGGTACATTTGGTTAAATAAAAACATTATTCAAATTAATGTAACCTCTCTTTTTGCTTTTTTAATGTGACTACGACAAAATTTAAAATTACATATATGGCTTGCTTTTATATATCTATTGCACAGCACTGCTCTGGAGTGGTAATTTTCAACCAGGGTTGATTTTTGCCACCCCAGGGGACATTTGCCAATGTCTGGAGATTTTTTGGATGTCACAATGGAGAAGGGGTAATGCTGCTACTGGGTAGAGGCCAGAGATGCTGCTAAATATCCTACAATGCACGGGACAGCCTCCCACAACAAAAAATATCAGCTCCAAAATGTCAATAGTGGTGAGATGAAGAAACCTTGCTCTAAGGTGATCTTTAAGAGACTAATACCAAAAAATGTATAACTAAAAATTCTCAACTAGTCAAGAACAAGAAGATGAGGAGGAGGAAGGTGACAATAGGAAAGGAGAAGTAAAGAAACAAAGATAAATGAGACAGAAAACAAAAGGCAAGATGGTAAGTTTAACTCTAAATATATGAGTACTTATATTAGATGTACATGGACACTCCAAATAAAAGAAAAATATTGTCAAAATGACGAAAAACAAGATCCAATTGTGTGTTTTTTACAGAGAACATGCTATAAATATAAGAACAGGCCAGGCGTGGTGGCTCACACCTGTAATCCCAGCACTTTGGCAGGCAGAGGCGGGTGGATCACCTGAGGTCAGGAGTTCAAGACTAGCCTGGCCAACATAGTCTCTACTAAAAATACAAAAATTAGCTGGGCATGGTGGCACGTGCCTGTAATCCTAGCTACTTGGGAGGCTGAGGCAGGAGAATTGCTTGAACCCAGGAGGCTGAGGCAGGAGAATTGTTTGAACCCAGGAGGCAGAGGTTGCAGTGACCCAAGATCGTGCCATTGCACTCCAGCCTGGGCAACAAGAGTGAAAAGAGCAAACTCCATCTCAAAAAAAAAAAAAAAAAAAGAACAGAGAAAGGTTGAAAATAAACCCCTAACTAGCTGGTGCAGTAGCTCAAGCCTGTAATCCCAGCACTTTGGGAGGTCAAAGCAGGCAGATCACCTGAGGTCAGGAGTTCGAGGCTAGCCTGGCCAAAATGCTGAAACCCTGTCTCTATTAAAAATACAAAAAAATTAGCCCGATATAGTGGTGTACGCCTATAGTCTCAGCTACTTGGGAGGCTAAGGCAGGAGAATCACTTGAACTCAGGAGGTGGAGGTTGCAGTGAGCCGAGATTTTACTATTGTACTCTAGCCTGGCGACAAGAGTGAAACTCTGTCTCAAAAAAGAAAAGAAAAGAAACCCTAACCAAAAGAAAACTATTATGGTTTTGTTCATGTGGGAAAAAGTAAACTTTAAGGCAGATGTATTGCTAGATATAAAGAAAGACATAATGAATAACATTTCAATTCAAAAGCAACATAAAACAATCCTAAATTTGTATGCACATAATAACATAGTTTCACAATATATAAAGAAGGAAGGAAAAAGGGAAGGAAGGAAGGGAAGGAAGGAAGGGAAGGAAGGGAAGGAAGGAAGAGAAGGAAGCAAGGGGGGAGGGAGGAAGAGGGAGGGAGGAAGGAAGGAAGGAAAGAAGGAAGGAAGGAAATAAAATGAATGATCTGTTAAAAAAAAAAAAAGACAGTATTCATAATTAAAACCCTTTCCACAAAGAAAATTTCATGCCTAGATGGTTTCACTGGAGAATTATTCCAAACATTTAAGAAAAGAAATAACACCAATATGAACAACTCTTTAAAACTATAGTGAAAGAATGAACGCTTCTCAACTCATTTTATGTAGCCAGCATAACTCTAACACTTGACAAAGACAATATAAAAAAGGAAAATTGCAGGCCAATATCTCCCATGAATTTAGATGCCAAAATCCTGAAGAAGGTATTAACAAATTAGACCTTGTGATATGTGGAAAGGATAACATATGATGACCAAGTTAGATTGGAAGTAAAGTGGGTTTAACATTTGAAAAATCAATTAATTTAATTACCACATTAACACAATAAGAAGAAAAACAATATGATAATCTCAATAGCTACAACAAAAGCATTTGATAAAGTTTAACACCTATTCCTGATAAAAACTTTCAGCAAACTAAGAAAAAAAACTTTTAAAGACTGATAAAAAGCAACTGCACAAAGCCTACCACTAGGATATAGGGGTAACACTTTCCCCCCGAATTTGGAAACATGACAACAATGTTCACTACTATCTATTTAGTATAATACTAGAAGTCCTAACCAGTGCAATAAAAAAAGTTCAAGGTATAAAGATTGGAAAGAAAGTAAAAAATACATTATTGCAGATAACATATTGTATATAATAGAAATTCTACAAAAAAAAAAAGTGTATTGGGCCGGGTGCAGTGGCTCACGCCTGTAATCCCAGCACTTTGGGAGGCCAAGGTGGGCAGATCACCTGAGATGGTGAGTTTGAGACCAGCCTGACCAACATGGAGAAACCCCATCTCTACTAAAAACACAAAATTAGCCGGGCATGGAGGCACACGCCTGGAATCTCAGCTACTCAGGAGGCTGAGGCAGGAGAATTGCTTGAACCTGGGGCGGGGCGGAGGTTGCAGTGAGCCGAGATCGCGCCATTGCACTCCAGCCTGGGCAACAAGAGCGAAACTCCTGTCTCAAAAAAAAAAAAAAAAAAAGTGTACTTAGCAAGGTAGGTGGATACAAGGTTAATATATAAAAATTAATTATATTTCTATATACTAGCTACAAATAGTGGAAAGTGAAATTTATAAAGCAACACCATTGACAATAGTGCTTAAAAAGCCAATACCTAGGAATAAATCTACCAAAAGATGTGAAAGAACTTTACAGTGAAAACTCCTAGACATTGCTAGGAGAAACTGAAGAAGATCTTCATAAAAAGATAATTTATGTTAATGGAGGAAAAAACCTTAATAATAATAAGATGCCAATTTCCCACAACTTTATCTATATATTAAATGCAATCCGAATCAAAATTCCAGGTTTGAACTTTGTGGAAATTGACAAGCTGATTCTAAAATTTATATGCAAATGTAAAGGACCTAGGATAGCCAAGATAATCTTGACAAAGAACAAGATTTTAAGACTTACTATAAAGTTAGAGTGATTATTGTGGTATTGGCACAATAATGGTGCAGAATAGGGACTTCAGAAATAGATTCACACATGTACAGTCACCTGATTTACAATGAAATTGTAACTGTAATTAAGTAGAAAAAATTTTTTTAAACAAATGTTGCTAGACAATTGAATACCTGTATGAGAAACAACAAAACTTAACCTCTAACTCATACCATCCATAAGAGTAGTTGAGATGAATCACGAATCTAAATATGAAGACAAAACAATAAAGTTTATGGAGGAAAAACATAGAAGAATATCTTTATGACTTTGTTGTAGACAAAGATTAATCAGGATACAAATAAACACTAACTGTAAGATAAAAATTAATAAATTGAGCTTCATTAAGAGCTTTAATTCATCAAAAACACCAGTAAGAAGGCCGAGGTGGGTAGATCACCTGAGATCAGGAGTTCAAGACCAGCCTGGCCAACATGGTGAAACCCCGTCTCTACTAAAAATACAAAAAATTAGCCGGGCGTGGTGGTGGACACCTGTTATCCCAGCTACTTGGGAGGCTGAGGCAGAGAATTGCTTGAACCCAGGAGGCACAGGTTGCAGTGAGCCAAGATCGTGCCACCACACTCCACCCTGGGCAATAAGAGTGAAACTTCGCCTTAAACAAACAAACAAACAAAAAACCAGCAGTAAGAGAGTGAAAAGGAAGGCAACAACGCAGAGAAGAGATTCAAAATACATACATATAACCTTTGTTTGTATCCTGAGTTTATACAGAATTCCTACAAATAAGATAAAAGAAAACATTTTTTAAACATTAAAATGGACAAAAGAATTGAACAGGTCCTCCTAACAGAAGATATTCAAGTGACCAATAAGTAGCCACATCATTATCATCGGGGAAATGCAATTTACAACTACAATGAGATATCACACCCCACCAGAATAACTAGTAATGAAAAAATTAAGAATCGAAGAAAATGTAGATCAATTAGAACTCATACATTGATGGTGAAAGTATAAATTGGTACAACCATTTTAGAAAACTTTTTGGCAGTATCTACTAAGCCCAGAAATCCAATTCACTGCAAAAGAACCCACTCAAAAGAACTGAATGCATATATGAATTCAAACAACATATCAACATATGCAAAGAACATTTATAGTACTTTTATTGTAGCAAACAAATGAAAACAATGCAAATGTTAGTGAATAGTAGAATGTACAAACTGACAAAATCATACAACTAGAGACTACCCAGCAGTAAGAAAAAAACACCTAGTACTGCGATGTATTAACATGGATGAATCTCACAAATATTATGATGAGTGAAAGAATAATTTTTTTAAATTTAGAAAGAGTATGAGAGAAGGCAAAATTAATCCATGGTAATATAAGTTAGAATAATTGTTGTCTGGATGAAGGATAGTTATAGATAAGAAAGAGGCATGAGAGAATCTGGAGTGCTAGAAGTGTTCAATATTTTAATCTGAGTGGTAGTTACAGAGGTGTTTACATATTTCCATTCATAGAGTTTTAGACTTAATGCACTTTGCTGTATGTATATCTCATACAACCTCAGAAAATGGTAGTATGGCTACTACAAAACCGTCTAACAATGTGTCATATTCAGAATAAAATTTTAAATCATAGGATTTTCTTGAAAACACTTCTTGACCTGGACTTTGCCTTTCCAGAAATATTTCTGCACTCTAACAATAAGCTCCTGTTTACTGGCTATACCAAAATATTTAGTGTTTTTTAACAATATACCACACACTCTTTAACCTCTTTGCCTTTGCAAATGCTGTTCTTTGCTTGGGATATACTTACCATCCTCTTATTTTACCCTAAATGTTCCCTAGTAATTTCCACAAAATTTGCATCTTAATTCAGTCATTACCTTATCCAGATAACCTTCCCAAGCCATCTCAGGTGTAATTAGGCACATCTTTGCTATGTTCTTTTAGCACCCTATCATAGCATTTTCAAACTGTATTAAAAGCTTTTCTTATTTTTCTGACTCTCACTAGATTATAAAGTCCTTGAGAATGGGCATTTTTGTTTTGTTTTAAAAATATTATTAGTATATAGCATAGGGTCTGACATAAAGTAGGCACAATAAGAGTTTTTGTAAGTGTCGGAACAAGAAAACAATTAGGGAAAATCCTAGTCGGTTCTATATTGAGTTTCTCCTGCATGTTCAGTAGTAGATTGGGGCTTTTCTATGGTCCACAGGCTCAGAAGACACAACCCCATTATTACGGACTTGAATATTGCAAAGATGGTACTAAATTTACTTTCTTTAGTTACAGGGAGACATTCAAACACAGAAAATTGTTCATAATCCCAGAAACCATTTTATCAGCCAAGTGACCTAAATACTGGATAGAAAATTCTGTCCACGGCAGGCCCAACAATCAGTAGATCTACTCTCTTTCCTTAAGAGTAGCCATGAGAACAAGGAAAACTGGGACAAATTAGGCTAACACAGCTTGTTCATATGCTCATTCATCAGGAACACAATGGCATTAAACATTAGAAAACACAGAAATGGCTGTCTTCATAGCACTTTTAAAGCTCATTTATCATAGTTAAAATTTTGAAAAGACCCATCTTCATTTAATAATCATCAAAAATAAATTCTCCTAAAATATCACAACAGTTATACAGGATTATCTTTTATGCTGAAATGATGGATATTTAATTGGTAAATAAATATATACCTACAATTCAGCCTAGTTGTGTTACTATAGGTCAATACACTTTTTTCCTTTAAATCAATAGATGTTCTCAGTAACACACCAAAGCTACTAGAAATCATGTTTGGTCTCTATCTACATTTTTAAAGTAACTTTTAAATGGAAAACATTAACTTAGCAAAGGTGTAGTCAAACGTGTTTTTAAGACATGATTATCACATTTATTTCATTGTAAACCACTTTTTAAAAACTAGAAACTGAGCTAAAATTCTCAAAGGACATAAATTGGCTGCTAGTTAATCTCTCAGAATTCAATGTTAAAATCTATTGTAGTTGCTTATTTTGTTGTAATTTATATTTGAGATTGCCTTATCCATTACATTCCTCTTGATTTTGATAGCGATCTAATGTAAATTTTTTAGCCAGATGATCTCTAGAATATGTTATAAAGTCTGGCATAGATTAGTCTAAACAACTTATGATGTTTTAATAGCAGGAAATTCTATTGCTGAATTTGTTAATATCCATCTACTTCTACTAGAATTTTAATAGTAATTTTGCTTTTGTAAACATAAGGTCAAAAATATTTGGGAATGTGTATGCAAAACCAAATTTGGAAGAAAATGAACCACAGTAAACTTTTAACAGAAATAGAACTTGAGAATTTAGAAATTTATCATTTTAATGACATTAGAAATAAGCATTTTTCCTAAGAAGCCACCTGTAACACATTAAGTATAAATCATAGTTTCTTAAGTGCTGTTTTGGGACCTTTGTGTTGCAATTCCAGATGCATAAGTTAAGTTGGTTAAGCAAGGGAATTGTTGCATTTGGGGTAAGCAAAAAGAAAGTGATGAAAGCCAGGTCTTAAAATAAGTTAGGGGTGAAACACTTTGGAATTTAAACTTCATATACAGTACATGTAGGGGAAAACAACAAAATAATTAAGTTTTTAATGTGTAAACATTAAACATTTACATAGCACAGGATCATTAATTCACTGACCTTATTAGATTTATTATTTTTAAATTATGGCATGAAAAAACTCCCTGCTATTTAAAAATAAAACAGCACCAAAAGATCAAAATGAAAATAAAAACTATGTATTTCAACATTTAAATGTACGGTATAAAATAGAATTCAATCTTAAACCTAGAGTCCCTTAAAACCTTTACTAAAAATCCTCATTATTTTTTAATAACACTTTTATAGTGCTTACAACATACCTGTTACTGCTCTAAGCATTTTACAAATATTAAGTCATTAAATCTTTGTAATAACCTCATCAGGTAGGAACTATTATCCTCATTTTACAAATGAGGAAACACATTGCTTTTGTCTAGATAAAGCCTCAAAGATATGGAAGTTAATTGACCAAGATCACAAAGCTTTAATAGTAAGTGGCAGAGCCACACCTAAACACAGACAATCACTCCAAAGTCTATGATCTTATCAAATATATGTTCTGCTGCCTTCCCAAAATCTAATATCAAGCCTTCAGAAAGTTAACTAGTATCAGAAAATAGTAATATTTGAAAATTTTTAATTGAATGAAATGTCAAAGAATCTAAAGGCTAAGGAGATACACTATATTCAACTAAAACTCCTCATAAATACTTGAACTCTTCATGAAGATCTTCAAAAAAAGATCATATAGACTTTACTTCAATACCTCCAGTGACAGGGAACTATATTAAGGTAGACAATTTTATTTCCTGAAATCGGCCTCCTGTAAACTACCATATTTCTTTTAGAAGTAGGGTCTCGCTCTGTTGCCCAAGTGGGAATGTTTTACCCTGTTTCTATCCTATCTTCTAAAGTCAAACAAAATTAATCTCCCTTCTCTTTTACACTGCTGCCTTAAAATATGTGACGAAACCAATTATGTTCTAATTCTCCACCCCCCCACCCTTGGTTAAATATTCTATTTCCTTCAAAATTTCTTCATGTACACAGTGGAATTTCCTCACATTTCTACTTTTTTGTTTCTGGACATGCTCCAATTTTTCTTCTATCTCTTAAAGTGCACCATTCCCAAACTGAATTCCATATTCAAGAAGTATTTTGACCACAGTAGATTAGCACCATTATCAGTCATTCTATTTTTACTTTTTTATATTTATTTTTTCCTAATCTTCAGGAACCCCAATCAACCATTCATTCTAAATGGTATTCATGTAGATGAATATTGACTTTTTAGACAGCAAAAACATATAGGTTCATATCAAGTTTACTACAAAATAATGCCTCTATGATATTTTCCACATATATTGGAGCTAATAAACTTGATTTTTGAAAATAAATTCAAAATTATTTACCCTTATGAAATTATTATAAATCAGTATCTTATTAGAAATCAGTCAGTCCATTATTCCAGCCTATTGAGATCCTTTAAAATCTTGATGATCTTACTTAGCAAGTTAGCTATCCCTTCTAGCTTTTCTCAACCAAATCATTGGGAAACTATCAATATTTATGATAGCCTTTTTTTTTTTTTTTTTTTTTTTTTTTGAGATGGAGTCTCACTCTGTTGCCCAGGGTGTAGTGCAATGGTGCGATCTTGGCTCACTGCAACCTCCGCCTCCCTGGTTCAAACAATTCTCCTGCCTCAGCCTCCCTAGTAGCTGGGACTACAGGCACAGGCCACCAAGCCCAGCTAATTTTTGTATTTTTAGTAGAGACAAGGTTTCACCATGTTGGTCAGGCTGGTGTTGAACTCCAACCTCACGTGATCCACTGGCCTCGGCCTCCCAAAGTGCTGGGATTACAGGCATGAGACACCACTCCCAGCCTAGAGTATTGTTTTTAATATAATTAAATACTCATCTTTTTTTATTACTTATCAAGTAAACATGCCCTGTGTTATACACCATCTGTTGTCAAAGTAGATTAGGTCCAGAGAGAGTTAACTGAAATCCAGACATGATATATAATGGTTTTCTTCTTCTAATAAAAGTCTATTAATAATTTCTTCTTTTAAAATTATTTATTTATTTATTTTTAAAGAGATGGGATCTCATTATGTTGCCCAGGTTGGTCTCAAACTCCTGAGCTCAAGTGATCCTCTAGCCTCAGCCTCCCAAAGTGCTGGGTTACGGGCATGAGCCACCATGCTTGGCCCCTATTAATAATTTCTAATGACACTACTCAAAAGAAAAGAACGGGATTATTTTATATGGTTTCTTATGGAACACAGGTTATGGGCAAGCATGATTGAAAAAGATTTAGGCCATGTGCAGTGGCTCATGCCTGTATTCCCAACACTTTGGGAGGCCAACGCAGAAGGATTGCTTGAGCCTAGGAGCTCAAGACCAGCCTGGACAACATAACACCACCTTGTCTGTACTACAAAAAAGGGAAATAAAATCAGCCAGGCTTGGAGGCGAGTGCTTGTAGACCCAGCTACTCAGAAGGCTGAGATGGGAGGATTGCTTGAGCCCAGGAGATCAAGGCTGCAGTGACCAATGATTGCGCCACTGCTCTCCAGCCTGGGCATCAGAGCAAAACCATCCATACCCCCATCTCAAAAAAAGAAAGAAATGAAAAAAAAAAAAAGATTTGAAGAACAAGGTATCACAACCTGAAAGTAATTCTAATTCTGTAAACCTGTTAAAAATGCAAAAAAATACTATCATGCATAAATGAAGGATAATATGTGGCAAGCATTTTGTAATTATCCTTCTTCACGCTGGGTAGATACTTATTAGATTGTGAGCCATGTAATACATGCTTGCCTTCCCATCATTTTTTGCCATGATCATAAGTTTCCTGAGGCTGCCCTAGCCATGCTTCCTGTACAGCCTGTGGAACCATGACCCAATTAAGTCCCTCTCTCTTTTTTTTTTTAAATTATACTTTAAGTTCTAGGGTACATGTGCACAACATGCAGGTTTGTTACATATGTATACATGTGCCATGTTGGTTTGCTGTACCCATTAACTAGTCATTTACATTAGATATTTCTCCTAATGCTATCCCTCCCCCATCCCCCCACCCCATGACAGGCCCCGGTGTGTGATGTTCCCTGCCCTGTGTCCAGGTGTTCTCATTATTCAATTCCCACCTATGAATGAGAACATACAGTGTTTGGTTTTCTGTCCTTGCAATAGTTTGCTCAGAATGATGGTTTCCACCTTCATCCATGTTCCTACAAAGGACATGAACTCATCCTTTTTTATGGCTGCATAGTATCCCATGGTGTATATGTGCCACATTTTCTTAATCCAGTCTATCATTGATGGACATTTGGGTTGGTTCCAAGTCTTTGCTATTGTGAATAGTGCCACAATAAACATACATGTGTGTTTGTCTTTATAGCAGCATGATTTATAATCCTTTGGGTATATACCCAGTAATGGGATGGCTGGGTCAAATGGTATTTCTAGTTCTAGATCCTTGAGGAATCGCCACACTGTCTTCCACAATGGTTGAACTAGT
This sequence comes from Homo sapiens, assembly GCF_000001405.40. Lineage (NCBI taxonomy): Eukaryota > Metazoa > Chordata > Mammalia > Primates > Hominidae > Homo > Homo sapiens. The sequence goes on from NC_000001.11 coordinate 51,023,682, forward strand.
TTACACTCCCACCAATGGTGTAAAAGTATTCCTATGTCTCCACATCCTCTCTAGCACTGTTGTTTCCTGACTTTTTAATGATCGCCATTCTAACTGGTGTGAGATGGTATCTCATTGTGGTTTTGATTTGCATTTCTCTGATGACCAGTGATGATGAGCATTTTTTCATGTGTCTGTTGGCTGCATAAATGTCTTCTTTTGAAAAGTGTCTGTTCATATCTTTTGCCCACTTTTTGATGGGGTTGTTTGATTTTTTCTTGTAAATTTGTTTAAGTTATTTGTTGATTCTGGATATTAGCCCTTTGTGAGATTGCAAAATTTTTCTCCCATTCTGTAGGTTGCCTGTTCACTCTGATGGTAGTTTCTTTTGCTGTGCAGAAGCTCTTTAGTTTAATTAGATCCCATTTGTCAATTTTGGCTTTTGTTGCCATTGCTTTTGGTGTTTTAGTCATGAAGTCCTTGCCCATGCCTATGTCCTGAATGGTATTGCCTACATTTTCTTCTAGGGATTTTGTGGTTTTAAGTCTAACATTTAAGTCTTTAATCCATATTGAATTAATTTTTGTATAAGGTGTAAGGAAGGGATCCAGTTTCAGCTTTCTACACATGGCTAGCCAGTTTTCCCAGTGCCATTTATTAAATAGGGAATCCTTTTCCCATTCCTTGTTTTTGTCAGGTTCGTCAAAGATCAGATGGTTGTAGATGTGTGGTGTTATTTCTGAGGGCTCTGTTCTGTTCCATTGGTCTATATCTCTGTTTTGGTACCAGTACCATGCTGTTTTGGTTACTGTAACCTTGTAGTATAGTTTGAAGTCAGGTAGCGTGATGCTTCGAGCTTTGTTCTTTTTGCTTAGGATTGTCTTGGCAATGCAGGCTCTTTTTTGGTTCCTTATGAACTTTAAAGTAGTTTTTTCCAATTCTGTGAAGAAAGTCATTGGTAGCTTGATGGGGATGGCATTGAATCTATAAATTACCTTGGGCAGTATGGCCATTTTCACAATATTGATTCTTCCTATCCATGAGCATGGAATGTTCTTCCATTTGTTTGTGTCCTCTTTTATTTCGTTGAACAGTGGTTTGTAGTTCTCCTTGAAGAGGTCCTTCACATCCCTTGTTTAAATCTTTTTTATTTATAAATTACCCAGTTTCAGGTATTTCTTTATAGCAGGGTGAGAATGGACTAATACAAAAAGCAAGAAAGAAAACATTAAAGAGAGTTTAAGAGCTGTTAGAAGCTCTAACATATGTCTAAGTAGAATCCAGGAAAGAATGGAAGAAATGTAATACTTGAAGAGATACTAGCTTAAAATGTTCCAGAATTGAAGAAAAACATGGACATACAGATATGAAAAACCGTAGCATATATTAGTCAGGATAAGCAGAAGAAAAAGAAAAAGGAAATGAAATCTACTACTAGATATATTGCTGAGAAACTTAAAAACATATATATAGATGAAAAAGGACAGACCTTAAAAATAGCCAGATAAAATGTATAGGTCACCTTTCTAGAGAAAAAGGACAGCTCACAATACTTAAGGCCTGGGAGAAGACCTCCCAGCAGCTATCACTGAAGCCAGAAGAAATGAAATAATACCTTTGAAGTGCTGAGAAAAAATAACTTTCCCCCTAAAACTGTATAGCAAAATTATATTTCAAGAATGAAATGTACCAACATGTGTGTGGTGTACCAACATATATGTAGTGGAAGTCTCAGAAGGAAAGGAGAGGGAGAAAGGGATAGAACAGTTAACTGAAGAATAATGGTTGAAATTTTCCCAAATTCGATTAAAATAAGAAAACATTAAATACTCCAGAAGCTCAACAAACCACAGGTAGAAAGAAAAAAATCAAAAGGATCAAGAGAAAAAAGGATTTAAAGACAGGGGAGCAACAATATGATTAACAGCTGACTTCTCATCAGGATCAACGGAGGGCAAAAGGCAGTGGGATAAAAAGTGCTGGGGGCAGGGTCAGGGAACTGCCACCATTCTATAATTATAATAAGGAAAAAATAAATATATTCCCAGATTAAACAAAGACTGAGTGAATTCATTGCTAGCAGTCCTACCTTATAATAAATAAATACTAAGGAAGTCCTTTAGGCTGAAAGGAAATGACCTAAGACAGTAACTTGAATCCATAGGAAGAAATGAAGAGCATCAGAAATGGCAAAAATGTAGGTAAATATAAAAGTCTATATAAATATCTATTTTTCTATTTTCTTAATTTCTTTAAAAGACAAGATTATATGAAGCAGTAATCATAACTCTGTGTTGTTGAATTAATGGCATATATAAATACATATAACAATATTAACACAAGGAAGTTGCTATATTTTACTGTAGTTGAATCAGTATTAACCTGAAGTAGATGGTCTTATTAAGAAGCATATTGTGATCTCTAGAACAAATACGAAAATAATTACAAAATATTCAGATAAAAAAATCAACAAAGGAATTGAAATTATACATTAAATTATATGAAACACAAGAATGCAGTAAAGAAAAAATAGAGGAATGAAATAGACATTAGACATTACCAAAACAGCAGATGTATATCCAACCACATCACAATGAATTAAATCAAATAGACTAAACACCCCAACCAAAAGGCAGAGGATTTCAGGCTTCTTTCTAAAAGCCAAGATTGAAGAACTATACACCGCTTATAAGAGACACACTTTAGATTCAAAGACACAAATAGTAAAAAGTAAAATGATAGAAAAGTAGAATTAAAATGACAGAAAAATATATATCACAGGAACAGTAACAATAAGAAAGTTAGAGTAACTATACTGATATCACACAAAATATATTTTAAGACAGACTTTTTTTTTTTTTTTTTTTGAGATGGAGTTTCACTTTTGTTGCCCAGGCTAGAGTGCAATGGCGCGACCTTGGCTCACTGCAACCTCTGCCTCCCGCATTCAAGCAATTCTCCTGCCTCAACCTCCCAAGTAGGTAGGGTTACAGGCATGTGCCATCATGCCTGGCTAATTTTGTATATTTAGTAGAGACGGGGTTTCTCTATGTTGGTCAGGCTGGTCTCGAACTCCTGACTTCAGGTGATCTGTCTGCCTCACCCTCCCAAAGTGCTGGGAGTACAGGCGCGAGCCACCACACCCGGTGACAAAGCGTATTTCATAATGTTAAAAGGTTCAATATACCAGGAATATATAGCAATTTAAAATATGTATACACCTAAAACAGAGGCATGAGATACATGATGCAAAAAATAACAATTAAAGGGAGAAACTGACAGTTCAACAGCTTGGGGTACAAATTTCAATATATCATTCTCATAACTGATAGAACAACTAGGCAGAAAATCAACAAGAAAAGAGAAAACACTGTCAACCACCTTGTCCTAGGAGGCATTTTTAGAATAGTCCACCCAACAACAGCAGAATACACCTTTTTGACTGGTCATGTTGGCTCATGCCTGTAATGCCAGCACTTTGGGAGGCTGAGGTAGGAGAATTGCTTGAGGACAGGAGTTCAAGACCAGCCTGGGCAACATAGTGAGACCTCATCTCTACTAAAACTTTAAAAACTGAGCCGGGCGTGGTGGCTCACACCTGTAGTCCCAGCTACTCAGGAGGCTGAGGCCATAGGATCACTTGAGCCTGGGAAGTCGAAGCTGCAGTGAGCTGTGATTATACCACTGTACTCCAGCCTAGGCAACAGAACAGTCTCTGTCTCAAAAAAAAAAAAAAATACACCTTCTTTTCAAGCACACATAGACTATTTTTCAGTACTGACCATATGCTAGATCATATGGTCATATAAAACAAGTTCCCAAATTCAAAAGGATTGTAATCATTAAACACATGCTTGCCAATCCATAGAATTAAATTAGAAACCAACAGCAGAAAGAAATTTGGGAAATCCCCAAACATTTGAAATTAAACAAAATAATTTTAAATAACTCATGGGTCAATGAAGAAATCACAAGAGAAATTAGAAAACATTTTGAAGGTAATGAAAATGAAAACATAACACACTAAAATTTTTAGATAAAACAGGGCCAAGATGAAAATGTAGCTTTAAACACATATATTAGAAAAAAGTAAAGATTTCAAGACAATATCTAAGATACAACCTACAAAACAAACAAAATGAATTAAACCCAAAGAAAGCAAAAGGAAGAAAATAATAAAGAGCAGAGAGAATCAATGAAACAGAACATAAAAAACAACTTTAAAAATCAGTGAAAACAAAATTTGATTCTTTAAGATGATCAACAAAATTATTAAACCTTTAGCTAGATTGACAGAGAAAAAAGACCCAAATTACCAAAATAAGGAATGAAGGAAGGGATATGCCACCAACTGGCAATCCTACAAAAAAAAAAAAAAAAAAAAAAAAAAAATCAGGGTTAAAGGGATTATTGTGAACTGGTTGGGTGTTGTGGCTCACACCTATAATCCCAGCACTTTGGGAGGCCAAGGTGGGTGGATAACTTGAGCCCAGGAGTTCAAGACCAGCCTGGCCAACATGTTGAAACCCCATCTGTACTAAAAATACAAAAATTAACTGGGCATGGTAGCACATGCGTGTAATCTCAACTACTCAGGAGGAGAATCGCTTGAACCTGGGAGACAGAGGTTGAAGTGAGCCAAGATGGTGCCATCACACTCCAGCCTGGGCGACAGTGAGACTCTGTCTCAAAAGAAAAAAAAATAAAGAAAAACAACTTTATGCCAAATTAGACAATTTAGATGATATAGACAAATTCCTAGAGAAGCACAAATTATCAAAACTAACCTGAGAAGTAACAGAAAATCTGAATAGACATATAACAAGGAAATAAATCAGTAATAAAACAATTACACGCACACATATAATTGTATATATATGTATACACACAGGTTCAGATAGAATCACTGATAAATTCTATAAAACAGTTAAAGAAGAAATAATGCCAATTACATATAAACTCTTTCAGAAAATAGAAGAAGGAACACTTCTAACTCATGAAGACAATATTACTCTGATACCAAAACCAGAAAAAGACATCACAAGGAATCTATAGACCAATAGTCTTCATGAACACAAATGCAAAATGTTTAACAGTGTATTTGCAAATAGTTTTATTTTAGATTCAGGGGTACATGTGCAGATTTGTTACCTGGGTATATTGTGTGATGCTGAAGTTTGGGGTATGATGGATCCTGTCACCTAAGTACTGAACACAGTACTCAATAGCTTTTCAATCTTTGCCTCCCTCCCTCCCTGCCCCCTCTAGTAGTCTCATGTTTCTATTGTTGCCATCTTAATGTCTGTGAGTGTCCAGTGTTTAGCTACCACTTATAAGTGAGAACATATATTTGCTTTTCTGTTCCTACATTAATTCACTTAGGATAATGACCTCCAGCTGCATTCATGCTGATGCAAAGGACATGATTTTGTTCTTTTTTAATGGCTGCATTGTATGCCGCAGTGTATATGTACTATGTTTTCTTAAACCACCAGTGATGGGCACCTAGATTGATTCCATGTGTTTGCTTTTGTGAATAGTGTTGTAATGAACATGTGAGTGCATGTTTCTTTTTGATAGAATAATTTATTTCTTTTTGGATGTATACCCAGTAATGGGATTGCTGCGTCAAATAGTAGTTCTGTTTTCAGTTCTTTGAGAAATTTCCAAATTGCTTTCCACAGTAGCTGAACAAATTTACATTCCCAGCAACAGTTACATTCTCTTTTCTTCAGAGCCTGGCCGACATCTGATTTTTTTTTTTTTTTTTTTTTTTCCTAAGACAGGGTTCTTGATCTGTTGCCCAGGCTGGAGTGCAGTGGCATGATCATGGGTCACTTCAGCCTTAATCTTCAGGGCTCAAGTGATCTTCCCACCTCAGCCTCCCAGGTAGCTGGGATTATAGGGGTGCACTGCTGCACCCAGCTAATTTATTTTTATTTTTATTTTGTAGAGATGGGGTCTCACTATGTTACTCAGACTGGTCGTGAACCCGTGGACTCAAGTGATCCTCCTGCCTCAGCCTCCCAAAGTATGGGATTACAGGCATGAGCCACTGTGCCTGACCTTTGCTTTTTAATAATAACCATTCTGACTGGTGTGAGATGGTATCTCATTGCAGTTTTGATTTGCTACATTTCTCTGATGATTAGTGATGTGGAGCATTTTTTCATGTTTACTGGCCGATTGTATGTCTTCTTTTGAGAGTGTCTGTTCATGTACTTTGCCTTTTTTTTTTTTTTTGAGACAGAGTCTCACTCTTATCGCCCAGGCTGGAGTGCAGTGGTACAGTCTCAGCTCACTGCAACCTCTGCTTCCCAGGTTCAAGTGATTCTCATGCTTCAGCCTCCCAAGTAGCTGGGACTATAGGTGTGTGCCACCATGCCCAGCTAATTTTTGTATTTTTTGTAGAGATGGGGTTTTGCCATCTTGGCCAGGCTGGTCTCGAACTCTTGACCTCAGGTGATCTGCTCACCTCAGCCTCCCAAAGTGCTGGGATTACAGGTGTGAGCCACCGCACCTTGCCCTTTGCCCATTTTTTATGGGGTTATTTGCTTTTTGCTTGTTCAATTGCCAAATTCCTTATAGATTATGGACATTAGACCTTTGTCAGATGCATAGTTTGCAAATATTTCCTCCCATTCTGTAGGTTGTCTGTTTACTCTGTTGATAGTTTTTTTTCTGTACAGAAGCCCTTTAGTTTAATTAGGTCCCACTTGTTAGTTTTTGTTTTGGTTGCAATTGGTTTTGGGGACTTAGCCAAAAATTATTTGCCAAGACCAATGACAAGAAGGATATTTCCTAGGTTTTCTTGAAGGATTTTTCTAGTTTGTGGTCTTTCATTTAAATCTTTAATCCACATTGAGTTAATTTTTGTATATGGTGAAAGGTAAGGGTCTTGTTTCTTTCTTCTGTATACAGCTAGCCAGTTATTCCAGCACCATTTATTGCATACCCTGTCCTCTCCCCATTGCTCGTTTTTGTCAGTCTTGTCAGAGATAAAATGGCTGCAGGTATGTGGCTTCATTTCTGGGTCTGTATTCTATTCAAGGAAGCCATCTCTTACCACTACTAGTCAATATTTTAGTGGAAATTATAGCCAATGTAATATGTAAAGAAAAATATATTAAACATTTTCTCTTATTCATATTTGATGTTTGTACTGGTTATATTTATTGAAATATTAATATAATTTTATGTCTGACAAATATAATAATAAAAATTAGCTTGCTTTTTGTATATCTCTTTTACCATTCTTTTTTTAGCTAATGTGTATTTATTTAGTTTTCAAAAGTATTGGTATATGACAGATAAGCACCTGTAATCCCAGCACTTCGGGAGGCCGAGGCAGGTGGATCACTTGAGTCCAGGAGTTCTAGACCAGCCTGGCCAACATGGCGAAACCCTGTCTCTACTAAAAACATAAAAAATTAGTCAGGTGGCCAGGCATGTTGGCTCACATCTGTAATCCCAGCACTTTGGGAGGCTGAGGCAGGCAGATCGCTTGAGGTCAGGAGTTCGAGACCAGCCTGGACAACATGGCGAAACCCTCTCTACTTAAAAATACAAAAAATTAGCTGGGCGTGGTGGCAGGCACCTGTAATCCCAGTTACTTGGGAGGCTGAGGCAGGAAGAATTGTTTGAACCCGGGAGGTGGAGGTTGCAGTGAGCCGAGATCACACCATTGCACTCCAGCCTGGGTAACAGAGTGAGACTCTGTCTAAAAAAAAAAAAAAAAAAATTAGCCAGGTGTGGTGGTGCACACCTGTAATCTCAGCTACTCAGGAGGAGGCTGATAATCACTTGAACCTGGGAAGTGGAGGTTGCAGTGAGACGAGACGGCACCACTGAACTCCAGCCAGGACAACAGAGCAAGACTCTGTCTCGAATTAAAAAAAAAAAAGTATTGGTATATGATCAATAAGAAATAAAACCAATTTTTCACTGTACAGAATTTGAAAAGCATTGCTCTGAACTAAATTACTGTCTGATCCTTTCATATATTGAGATTCTGGAACGACTTCTACAGATATTGAAGTTTCTGTTCAGCAGGCAGAGCCAATGCTATACAACAAAGGCTGTTAGACCAGTTAGGCCTTATTTATTAAATGTATTAACGAATCTAAAAAAAGAATATTAGAAACAGGATATGTCATCCAAGAGCATAGAAAAAAAGCAAATAGTAGCAATACCTGTCTAAGTAATGTCCAAGGGTATGGTAGGTGGCCAACTCCTTTGTTTATTTCAATCATGTTTGCAAAGCCATGCCTACAAGACAGACTGATACAAAGAGTTATAGCCAAAGGAAGTGAAATAGTCTCACTCTTGTAGCATTATCATTCTTTCTATAGAATCTTAGCTGTGGCATTAACCATTACATTCAGACTCTGAATTTGTGATTTCATAGAGCAGCGGTCCCCAAACTTTTTGACACCAGGGACCTAGTTTCGTGGAAGACAATTTTTCCGCAGGGCGGGGGGTGGGGGCTCCCCTAAGGAGCGCACAACCTAGATCCCTCACACGCGCAGTTCACAATAGGGTTCGCGCTCCTGTAAGAATCTAATGCTGTGGCTGATCTGACAGGAGGCAGAACTCAGGCAGTAATGCTCGCTTGCCTGCCACTTGTCTCCTGCTGCATGGCCCTGTTCCTAACAGGCCACCAAGTACTGGTCCATGGCCCAGGGGTTGGGGACCCCTGTCATAAAGGATGGTGAACTAGTTGTAGTTGCTGGCTGTCTCAGTTATTACCTTACTATCCCTAAGCTCCAAATCTATTCTTCTACAGTGTAGAATCTACACTATGCTTTGTGAGGCTATTTCTGTGATTCTGCAAACCTTAACTAGGTAGCTGGTAGATTTCAGGACAATTCTCAACAACTAACATAAGAACTGTGAGAAAACTTTCAGGAGATTAAAAGTGGTTCTACCATAGCTGGTGACTGAGGAGGGCTACAAAGATGCAGGAGAAAGAAGAAACTTGCTCTTTTCTATTTGTTCTGTTTCGGCTTCTGTGAGCCTCTGTCTGCCTACATTTCCCACGAGTGGCATCCCAGTAATTCTTCACCCACGACAGGAGTTCCTTCCCATCACCTCAACTAAATCCAGGATGCAGTTATTCCAACACTTGCAAACCCAGCTTCATTGTTCTTTTTTCTCCCCAAAGGTACTAGCTTCAGCCTGTGGATGCCCCTTTTCAGAGGTTTGGGTCCCAGGCCTGTGAGGCCCCTATTCAAACTCAAGAGTTACCAGTAGCAGTCAAGCAATACTGCCTCCTCAGGTGTCTGAGTCTATCTTTGTGGCACTCATTCTTCAAGTTTCCACATTTTAGTAATTCTCATCTCTTCTCTGTGTTCTTTCAGCCCTAGGAGTGACAGCAGCTTCCTGCAGTTGCTACTTCCGGCATACCTTACAGTTCTCTGTTGCCCTTTCGGTTACCTAGATAAAAATCTTTATATTAAATTCTTTATGTATAAATAACCTGACCAGGCATGGTGGCTCATCCTGTAATTCCAGAACTTTGCGAGGCCAAAGCCGGCAGATCACCTGAGGTCAGGAGTTCAAGACCAGCCTGGCCAACATAGTGAAACCTCATCTGTACAAAAATACAAAAATTACCCCGGCGTGATGGCGGGTGCCTGTAATCCCAGCTACTCGGGAGGCTGAGGGGGGACAATTGCTTGAACCCAGGAGGTGGAGGTTGCAGTGAGCCGAGATCGCACCACTGCACTCCAGCCTGGGTAACAGAGTGAGACTCCATCTCAGAAAAATAAAATAAATAAATAAATAAATAAATAAATAAATAAATAAATAAGTCTTTATATATAAATAACCAGTATAAGCATTGTCTCTGATAGACTCTAATTGATCCACTGGCTGTCTCCATTAAATGCTGTACTAGAAAGGCCACAGGAAAGGGGACTTGATAGATCTCAGATCCATTCTCATCAACTAACTCAAGAGCTATAAAGAAACTTCAGAGAGATTTCTCCTACAAAGTGTAGGAGAAAGAATGTCCTGTAGTCAAAGGGGACTAGGGACCACAGACAAGGGACAAGATAGAAGAGAGATTTCTAATTGCACTCCTTTCTCTTCCGTGTTGCTTTATGCAAGTCCAACACCAATGAAAGTGTGATCCACATTGGGGAGACTGGGTTTTTACTGGCTGGTGATTCCCTATTGCTTTAGTACATTGAGAATACAAATGAAATGGCACACTAAAGCAGAACCGATCAAAAGAAATCAGTAAAAAGAGAAAAAAAGAGAGAAAGGGAGAGAATATAGAATTAAAATCAGAAAACAATCACAGCTCTCTTGTTCTGCTTTCCATACTTCACATCTTTCATTTTTATCTGGTTTTTTAAAATTAAAAATAACCCACCTTTAAAAAAATTATTGTGTTCTTTGGGGGCCATTTTACTTAGAAAAAAAAATCTTTTAAAAAGTGCCATGTTCAGGCACGATGGCTAATCATAGTTTCAGATGGCATAGAGACCAATTTATTTATTTATTTATTTTGAGATGAAGTTTCGCTTTTGTTGCCCAGGCTGGAGCACAATGGCGCGATCTCGGCTCACTGCAACCGGGTTCAAGCAATTCTCCCGGGTTCAAGCAATTATCCTGCCTCAGCCTCCGGAGTAGCTGGGATTACAGGCGATAGCCACCACGCCCAGCTAATTTTTGTATATTTAGTAGAGATGAGGTTTCACCATATTGACCAAGCTGGTCTTGAACTTCTGATCTCAGGTGATCCATCCGCCTCAGCCTCCCAAAGTGCTGGGATTACAGGCGTGAGCCACCGTGCCCAGCCCCCATAGAGACCAATTTTACTGACCCTGTCTTTTACATCTGATTTTGGAAGAGTCAAGATGCCCCTCGGATAACAGTAGAGGGGATGGAATAGTGTGAAGTCCTTTGCAACAAAGTGCAAGATTTTCTTTCTGCTGTTGTGCCCTGGAAGGCTTATGTTCAGCTTTGCCCGTCCGCCAGGAGCATGGGTAGAATGTTATGCTCACTCTCTGTAGACAAGAACACTGGATGATGATGATATGAATGTAGATAGCTGTAGAAATTCATTTGCAATGTCTTCATTTGAGCTGTGTCCTTCCACTGCCCCTATTCCTTCTCCATACATGGTTGCTGGTTGGAGGGAGCAGATATGTTTCTTTGAAAAACAGTGAGGGGGCATGTGGCTTCTTGTTTATTTAAGGGTGGGCCTCTTTGGGCTCACCAAGAACTGTTTACTTCCTGTGTGTACTTGTACAAAATTTGGGTTCTGAGAGCTATGCGGTGAATTCAGTGTTAGCTCATCCCAGACCTCAGTGTTAGCTCCTCTAGGCAGTAGGACATCTGTGTTTCTCAGGGCAGGCTCAGGTTTGGGGTCCTCTTGGGGATAACTGGCATTGGAAGGACACAGGTCATCTAAATGGAGCTCCAGTGCCCCTTCTCAGGGTCCAGTCAGAACTTTCCCCTTGGGCCCCCTAGAAGATACTGCTGTCTTACACCTGGACACACCTTGGCTTTGGGGTATACATCTCTTCTCTCCCCACTGATTGGTATTATAACATCAAACTGCTCCAGGCCTGGTGCGTGCTCTCCAGGAGAACCAACCGGGAAATTCTCCAACAGGTAAAGTCCTTAAAAATGATACATTTGGCCAGTTGTGGTGGCTCACATCTGTAATCCCATGACTTTGGAGGCTGAGGCAGGTGGATCATTTGAGCCCAGGAGTTCAAGACCAGCCTGGGCAAAGAGGTGAAGTCTCTTATATTTTTTTCAAATGATACTTTTAGCTACCTAACTTTGGGGACCAAATGCCTAAGAGGGAAAGGAAGCAGTCTAATGCAAATTGAATACATCATACCAGAGTCTGGGAAAATTAATTAAATAACACAGGGTAGTCATAAAATCCTTGTGGGATGTTACAGATGTAATAACCTAATGCTTAATATGTTGCTACCTTAAAATGAAGAGATAAAATAAACAACCTGTGAATTTTCTTCATATAGCTGATAAAGACAAGTTCCAGTGGTTTGTAAGACATAATTTTGCCTGTACCCAGGGGGACTTTTTTTATATGACATAGGATATTAAGCAATGTAAAGTTGCAGATGTAACTAGCAAATTTGCTTTTAAATGTCATTAACAGATTTCTGTTGAAACTGCAAACCTAAATTATTGAAATTTAGGAATGCACAGGGACTTAAAGACTCTGTCACACACACCCATACATGCACACACACACACACTTACTGAAAGCTGTTGTGAGATGAAGGAGACCTATGTGACTAACAAGTTCAACTTCTTTGTGCCTGGAAAGAAGGGACTGGAGCAGCCAAGAGACTCACTTTCCCCATCTCACTTGAGTCTTTATGCCTGAGTCTCTCCAGCACATGCACACATGCATGCACACACACACGTGCCCTATCCAAAGATGGCTGCGGACTTCTCCTGCCGGTTCTGCTGGTTGGGGCTGGGGGGCAGGGTGGTCCCATAGAATTTGTTCTGGTTTCTACGATATAAACAAGATAACTCGAAGCTATGTGAACATTGCCTTGCTTTCTAGACGGTGGAATGTAACCCTGCACCTTTAGAAGCACAATCATTAATTAATTTTTTTTTTTGAGACAGGATCTGGCTCTGTCACTCAGGCTGGGTTGCAGTGGCACAATCTCTGCTCACTGCAACCTCTGCCCCCACCAGGCTCAAGCCATTCTCCCACCTCAGCGTCCTGAGTAGGGGTTACTATAGGCACGTGCTACAATGCCCTGCTAATTTTGTATTTTTTGTAGAGATGGGGGTTTTACTGTGTTGCCCAGGCTGCTCTTGAACTCCTGAGCTCAAGCAACCATGCCTGGCCCAATAACTTTTTTTTAAACTCCCATCTATCCACATTGGAGAAATCAACAGGTTCTAGGAAGTAAATATGTCTCTTTGTAACCTAAAAAAAGAAAAAGAAAAAACAACCACAGATAAAACCAAGATTTTAAACTTGTATAAGAAATGATGAAGCCAGATGTGGTGACTCACACCTGTAATCCCAGCACTTTGGGAGGCCAAGGTAGGCAACCACTTGAGCTCAGAAGTTTGAGACCAACTTAGGCAACATGGCAAAACCATGTCTCTACAAAAAAAAAAAAAAAAAAAAAAAAGCAAAAATTAGCCAGGCATGGTAGTGCTCACTGTAGTTGTCCCAAGTAGGGAGATCGGGATCACTTGAGCCCTGGAGGTGGAGGTTGCAGTGAGCCCAGATTGCACCACTACACTCCAGCCTGGGTGACAGAGTGAGACCTATTTGCCAAAATATTTGAAAATTTAGATAAATAAATTCCTGGAATGATTTTTTAACTGGAAAAAATAGTACAACATATAGCAGAACTTTCATAAACAAATAACATATAAAGATGATGAAATAGAAATCAGCTCCCCTTCTTCCCCATTTTCTCGTTCCCAATGCTAGTGTCAAACGGTAGAGTTCTATCAAACTTTCCAAGAATAGAACGTAGAAATAGAGGGAAAGCTAATTCTTTTTGAGATAAGAATAACTTTGACACAGCATACATGTAAGGATAGTATTGAAAAATTTACAAACCAATTTCATTTAAGAAAATAGATGTAAAAATCCTAAATAACTAAATCCAACATGTATTAAAAAACTGCAACATGATTAAATGGACTTATCTTAGCAATGTAAATAAATTTGTTATTGAAATTAGCCATGTTAATGGACTATGGTAACTCTTTTAGACTAGTTTTCTCAAACTGTGTATTTGGAGAGGTTGGAAAGCTTTCAAAAATACTTCTCCCAGATTCCTTTTGCAGCTAGAGTTCTAGACACGGATGAGGTTCCATCAATCAAATACACCCAAATGAGAGTTGGAAGGTGGAAGTATTACAGTTGCTATTAGCTATAGGTCTGGTCTATTGCCGCTAAAAAGTAAGATTTGTAAATGTACAGCTTTCTGTAATAGCATTCCAGTGTCTTTGACCCTGTGAGTAAAGAAGCAGTAGTCATGGCAAGGTTTCTCTACCTGAACTCATACTTTGTAATCTCTAGTTTGCTGTGTTAATACTCATTCTTTACCTTCTTTGGCTAAGAGACAGCTGTGGCAGCAGTTTTTTAAAGCATAGATGCAATGGTGGTCTCAGTGGTAGTTGTCTCCCAGTGTAGCATGTCAGACTTATTTTGGTAGATATTCTAGGTGTTAAGCAGCTGCCCCCTCAACTCTCCAAAGATTTTGTAAGCACCTAACTCCCTACATTAAATCACTTCCTGCTTAAAATGTCTAGTGTCACTTCTGTTAACTGGACCAAACCCTGACTGACAGAGTATTTAATATTAAAAATGGCTGATGCTATGGCAAAATTACTCAAATAAGCAGTGTCTGCTTAATAGTCTAGCAGTTCATGGAAAGGAAACAATTGCATGCTGGAAAGCTGATTATCTTTGTATACTGTGGCAAAATACTTCATAAAATTGTTGCCTCTGATATCATGGAAGTACAACTGTGTGCTAACAGACCCTGAATTTCTAGATGAACGAGTTAGAAAATATCAGAATGTAATGTGTATTGGCTCTTCATTGCTGTTTGTAGCAAGATATAAGAAAGCAATGAATTCAGGCAAGAATTGGCCAATTTTCAAACAGATATGAAAGAAAATTCAGTTCTGTTAAAGGAGTCTTTCTGCCAGTGGACTAAAATCTAAACTACTCATGCCCAAGAAAGTTAAAAAAACTCAAGTGCTCATGTTCCCCCAGACAAGAGAGTATAAGGCCCCAGCATTTTCTCAAGCTTCTTCCATTTAGATTTCTCTTCCAGAAAAATTGCAGCTAGTATATCTGCAAAGATTAGATTAAAGATGGTGCCTTCCCACCCAAGCCTGTTATTAATTTAAATGGACTCAAGATAGCTGCCATTAAATTAGGAGAGGATAGGTCTTGTACAGACAAATATGCAAATAAATTAGTCTTGAGAAAACAATTTTGCAGTGTGATTATTAGCACATAGAGCTTTTTGGAAGCAAGTCGGAAATCTGCTAAATATTTCCTAAAGTATTTTGGGAAGTTGTGTTGCCAAAGGAAACATAAACCTGGCTTACAGAAGCCTATGATTGTGTCTAGGTGTGGATTTCTTTGAGTTAACCCTACTTAGAGTCCATTAAGCTTCTTTAATGTGTAAACTAATGTTTTGGAGTCAAATTTCAGAAATTTTGGGCCATTATTTCTTCAAGAATTTTTTCTGCTCCTTTCTCTTTCTTCTTCCCTTCTGGGACTGCCATTATGCATTATGTATATATACCATTGTGAATATGAGAATGCACAATTGAGATTATCTGGTTTGAGGAACAGAAAGAAAGAAGAATGAACAAAAATAAATAGAGTTTCAGAGACCTGTGGAACACCATCAAGAAGATCAACGTATGCATAATGGCAATTCTAGAAGAAGTGAAATAAAATATTCAAGTATTCTTTCCAGGCAAGAAAAAATATTTGAAGAAATAATAGCTGAAAACTTTCCAAATGTTATTAAAAAACATTAAAAACATATCTACATATTGAAGTAGCTATATGGACTCCAAGTAGAATAAATTCAAAGAGATCCACACCTAGACACATCATAATCAAACTATTGAAAGACAAATAGAGAATACTGAAAACAGCCAAGGAGATGCAACTTATCATGTAAAAGGTATCCTCAATAAAATTAATTGCTGATTCCTTATAAGAAACCATGGAAGTGAGAAGACATGGGGTGACATATTTAAAGTGCTAAAATAAAAAGACTGTCTGACAAGAATTCTATATCCAGCAAAACCATCTTTCAAAACTGAAGGAGAACTTGTCATTCCCAAATAAACAAAAATTGAGAAAATTCATGGCTAGCAGACCTGCACTACAAGAAATATTTAGGGGAATCTTTGAGGTCAAAAACTACACTCTGATACCATTTCTCACCTGTCTAATTGACCAAACATCACAAGCTTTTCAACACAATGTGTTAGAGAGGCTATCAGGAAACAAGCGCTCTCATATTTTGTTGATGGGAATGCAAAATGGTATCTTCCCAGCCGGGTGTGATGGGTGACGTCTGTAATCCCAGCACTTTGGGAGGCAGAGGTGTGCAGATAACTTGAGGTCAGGAGTTCGAGACCAGCCTGGGCAACATGGAGAAGCCCTGTTTCTACTAAAAATACAAAAACTTAGCTGGGCATGATAGCACACGCCTGTAGTCCCAGCTACTTGGGAGGCTAAGGCAGGAAAATCGCTTGAACCTGGGAGGCGGACGTTGCAGTGAGCTGAGATCACACCACTGCATTACAGCCTGGGGGACAATGTGAGACTCCATCTAAAAAAAAAATAGTACCTTCCCTATAGAGGATAATATGGCAATATCTAACAAGTTAAGAATACATTTATCCTTTGAGTAGCAATTCCATGTCTAGGAATTTGCCCTAATGACACATCTCCAACAATACAAAAATACATATGTACAAGGTTATATGTTGCTCCCTTATTTATAATTACAGAATACTGAAACAAACCTACATACTCATACATAGGAGATTAGTTGAATAAATTGTGGTACATCCACGCAACAGAGTATGTAGTTGTAAAAGCGAATAAAGATCTGTATGAACCAAAATGGAGGGGTTTCCAGGATATAGTGTAATGTGGAAAAAAATAAACTGTAAGAAGAGTAAATATGTTACCTTTTGTGTAAGAAAGAAGTATAAATAAGAGAATATACTCATATCTCCTTATTTTTACAAAAAAGAGAAGCATATGACAAACAAACAAATAACTGACATAATTGACTACCTAGGATTGGTGGGAGAAAATAAGGTGAAAGGGTTAGGTAGGGTATGGTAGACAGCCTTCATGATGGCCCCCAGTGATGTCCACCTCCTGGTATTCATGCTCTTTTGCAGTCTTCTCTCACTCTGAATCAGGGCTGGTATGTTCCACCACTAGAATATGATGGAGCTAACAATATGTGTAATTTCCAAGGCTAGGTGATACGAGGCATTGCAGCTTCTCTTTTGGTCTCAGATTTACTTTGGTCTTTTTCTCTTGGGGAAGCCAGCCACTATGTTGTGAAAACACTCAAGCAGCCCCAGGGAAAGGCCTACGTAGAGAGAAACCAATGAGCACCAAGCTGCCATGTGAGTGAATAAGATACTTTACAAGCAGATCTTCCAGCCCCAGTCAAGTCTTAAGATGGCTGCAACCCTAACCAATATCTGACTACAACTTCATAAGAAATCTCAAGCCACAACAAGCTGCTCCCAAATTCTTGGTCCACTGAAAGTGTGAGAGACAGTGAATGATTATTGTTTTAACCCAGTCAGTTTTGGACAGCAATAGATAAGGAAATAACACTTCTTTGAGTATACCTTTTAATACATTTTTGACTTTTGGAATCGTGTTAATATTTTGTACTTCAAGAGATAAAATAAAATCAAGAAAAATAGGAATAAACCCCCAGAATTGAATGCAAGCAAAAAAAACCAAGCGAACTATATTCCAAATGGATAACATAACTACTCTAAAGAGAAAAAAATAATCTAGGTAACTTTTGAACCCAGTTCTTTGACTATATGACTGCAGTCTAAAAACAAAGAGAACTCTCAAAAAAATTTAATCTCTTTTGGCAGGTTTGTTGGGTTATTTTTCTACTGTTATGGGTATAATAATTCTTAACTACTTTATGTGTATTGCTGGATTGAGTAAATGAGTAAATACATTGATGCTATGATGCTGTGGGTAGTCAGGGTTCTGATTGTGGGAACATATATGTGTATATACTTGGTTGAACAATATGAAATTACCATTTCCTTCAGCTCTGTTCCTACAAGGGCCTAATAGCAGTGATACTCCAGTAGCAATAAAAATGGTAGAGCCCAGGGCTGAGGCTGGAAAGTAAAAGCCGAGTATGGAGCATCTTGATATGTCAGAGTAAGAAAGTGCTAAAAAAAAGGATGCGTACGTGCCAAAAAAAAAAACACAAAGCCAAATTGAAGGGGCTCCCACAGGCCAAATCAGAGACAATTTGAACATCAAAATGAATAAGGATAACAATGGATTATAACCTATAGGAAAAAGTAAATATAAAAATAATTAATACAAATGTTCTTATTATTAATAAATAATAAATTACTATTATTATTATTTTTGAGACAGAGTCTTACACTCTCGCTAGGCTGGAGTGCAGTGGTGTGGTCTCGGCTCACTGCAACCTCCGCCTCCTGGGTTCAAGCGATTCTCCTGCCTCAGCCTCCCGAGTAGCTGAGACTACAGGTGTTCACCACCACACCCAGCTAATTTTTGTATTTTTAGTGGAGACGGGGTTTTACCATGTTGGCCAGATGGTCTTGATCTCTTGACCTTGTGATCTGCCCGCCTTGGCCTCCCAAAGTGCTGGGATTACAGGCATGAGCCACCATGCCTGGCCTATTATTTTATGATAACAAATAAGACAGAAGGGAAAGCCCTTCCCTACAGGAGAATGATAAGTAATAAATATAGGAGAAATAAGAGTGTTAGGAAAATCACTTTTGGCTGGGCATGGTGGCTCATGTCTGTAATCCCAGCACTTTGGGAGGCCGAGACGGGCAGATCACTTGAGGTCAGCATATCACCAGCCTGGCCAACATGATGTAACCCTGTCTCTACTAAAAATACAAAAATGAGCTAGGCATGGTGGCACATATATAGTCTAGCTACTTGGGAGGCTGAGGCAGGAGGATCACTTGAGCCCAGGAGGCAGAGGCTGTAGTGAGCTGACAGCATGCCACTGCCCTCCAGCCTGAGTGATGAGAGGGAAACCCTGTCTCAAAAAAAGAAAGAAAAATCACTTTTTTGCAAGAATTATAGTAATAACTGGTTCAGGCAAGAATCATCCATGGATGCTAAAACTATTCAATGAAAGTTTGGGCCAGGCATGGTGGCTCACGCCTGTAATCCCAGCACTTTGAGAGGCCACGGTGGGTGGATCACTTGAGCCCAGGAGTTTGAGACCAGCCTGGGCAACATAGTGAGACCCCATCTCTACAAAAAATACAAAAATTAGCCAGGCATGGCAGTGCATGCCTGTAGTCTCAGCTACTCAGGAGGCTGAGGCAGGAGGATCACTAGAACCCAGGAAATAGAGGGTGCAGTGAGCTGAGATTGTGCCACTGCACTCCAGCCTGAGTGATGGAGCAAGACCCTGTCTCAAAAAACAAAAAGAAAAAGAAAGAAAGAAAAAAGAAAGAAAGGAAGCAAGGAAGGAAAGAAGGAAGGAAGGAAGGAAGATTGAAGAGAAACAATATATTTACATAGTCTCCAACTATGTCCTTACAAATTACTTACAGATTATGGGGCAAACTGACATGATCACTTATGTATTGTATTAGTTCATTCTCACACTGTTATAAAGAACTATCTGAGACTGGGTAATTTACAAAGAAAAGGGTTTAATTGACTCGTAGTTCCACAGGCTGTACAAAAAGCATGGCTCTGGAAGTCTCAGGAAACTTACAATCATGATGGAAGGGAAGCAAGCCCATCTTCACGTGGCGGCAGGAGAGAGCTAGTGAAGCAGGAAGTGCTACACATTTTTAAACAACCAGATCTCATGAGAACTCATTCACTATCACAAGAACAGCAAGGGGGAAATCCACCCCCATGATCCAATCACCTTCTTTCCAGGTCCACCCCCTCAACATTGGAAATTACAATTTGACATGAGATTTGGGTAGGGACACAGAGCCAAACCATATCATGTAGTATTTGGCCAAAAATGTATAACATGAATCTAATCATGAGGAAACATCAGACAAATCAAAATTGAGGGATATTTTGCAAGACAACTGGGCTGTATGCTTTAAAAATATCAGTATCATGAAAGACAAAGAAAGGATGAAAATCATTCCAGATTAAAAGGAGATGAAAGAGCTGTAGCAACAAAATGCAAGGTGTAAGCCTAGATTAAATTGTGAATCAAGGGAAAAAAATGCCATAAGAAACATTACTAGAAAATTGGCAAAAATTGAACATGGACTGTATATTAGATAATACTAATGTATTGATGTTAAATCTCCTAAATTTGCTGATTGTATTGTGAATATAGAAGCATGAGTTTTCTTATTCTTAGGAAATATACACAGAAGTATTTTGGAACATTATAACTCTCAATCTCAAGTGACTCAGGAAATTCTATCCGTACATGCACAAATATACTTATATATCCTAAATATGTATGTATGTGTGTGCATGTAGGGAGAGAGAGAAAGTGAAAGGGAGAAAGATGATTTTTTTTTTAAGTAGCAGAACATTTACAAGTAGGGAATTTGAGTGAGGGGTACACAAGACTTTGTAGCATTCTTGTTATTTTTTGTTTTGTTTTGTTGTTTTGGTTTAGAGAAAGGGTCTCACTTTGTTGTCCAGGCTGGAATGCAGTGGCAATCATGACAGCCTTGAACTCTAGGGCTTAAGCGATCTTCCTGCCTCAGCCTTCAAAGAGCTGGGACTACAGGTGTGAGCTACCATGCTAGGCTAATTAAAAAAATTTTTTTTTGTAGAGACGGGGGTCTCACTATGTTGCCTAGGCTGGTCTCGAGCTCCTGGCCTCATGTGATCCTCCTGCCTCAGCCTCCCAAAGTTCTAGGATTACAGGCATGAGCCACTGCACCTGGCCCAGACATTTATCTTCTCACAGTACTGAAGGCTGAGAGTCTGACATCAGTGTGCCAGCACAGTCAGTTTCTGGTAAGGGATCTCCTCCTGGCAAGCAGATGGCTATCTTCTGGCTATGTTCTCCATGGTGGAGAGAGAGAAAGCAAGCTCTCTGGTGTCTCTTCCTATAAAGGCACTAATTCCATCATGAGAACTCCACTCTCAAGAACTGATTAAATTTACCTCCCAAAAGTCTCATCTCCAAATATCACATCGAGGGTTAGGACTTCAACAAATGAATCTAGGAGGGATTCAGTTCAGTCTGTAGCTAGCAAAGACCTTGCCAATAACTAGGTTTAACATAAACTAGTTAATGGGATGCCATTTGAATATTATTTTAAATCTTGGCATTAAAAATTGAGGAGATCATTAAAAACATACCCATTAATCTATGAAGTATAAAAGGTCCAATTTATGTTTGTGTTTGCAACTTGCATATCATTTTATTACTTAATATTCCATATGAGGAAATATATGTTTACAAATAATAAAAAATTTTGGTAATGAAATGCAGTAATTTGAACATCTGAAATGCATAAGTGAGTATTATTATAATAAGAGCATAAAAATTGATGGTAATTTTGTCATATACAATGATGCGTCAAACACTTCTACGTTTTAATTCTTAAATTCCCATGTTAACATGTTAACCATGGCACCATCTTGTGGATATTTATTAAATAGTCGGGCTATACAAATATTTATTTGGAAATGTTGTAAATGAAAGTTATTTACAAAAAAAAGAACATTAAAGAATGTTTAAGTTAATAAAATGAAATGCTTGTAAGTAATTATCCTCACTTTCAAAGTGCTTCAACTATATAAATAAACGATTGAAATAGTTCTAGCATGGTTAAATTGTTTATATGAAATTTCAGGCTGTGTGCCATGGCTCACGCCTGTAATCCCAGTGCTTTGGGAGACCAAGGCTGGAGGATTGCTTGAGCCCAGGAGTTCGAGGCTACAGTGAGCCATGATCATGCCACTGCACTCCAGCCTGGGCAACAGAGCAAAACCCTGTCTCAGGAAAAAAAAAAAAATTAAAACTGGCCAGTGGTGCTTAACACATCAAGTGGATATTTTAGTTTGATATATTTTCGTGTGTATAGTGTATGTATATGTGTGTTTACATATATAAATGCAAATGTGTATTTGTTTGCTACTGTTTTTATTTTATTTTATTTTATTTTATTTTTTGAGACAGAGTCTTGCTCTGTCACCCAGGCGGGAGTGCAGTGGCGGGATCTTGGCTCACCGCAGCCTCTGTCTGCCAGGTTCCAGTGATTCTCCTGCCTCAGCCTCCTGGGTGGTTGGGATTACAGGCATGTACCACCACGCCCGGGTAATTTTTGTATTTTTAATAGAGACAGGGTTTCACCATGTTGGCCAGGCTGGTCTCAAACTCCTGACATCAGGTGACCCGCCCGCCTCAGCCTCCCAAACTGCTAAGATTACAGGCATAAGTCATTGGGCCTGGGCTTTTATTTTGATTTAACTTTAGGATCTGTAAAAAATGGGCATATACAAAGTAGTTTTTTTTAATGGAAAAAAGAAACTTTAAATCTCAGTTTAATCAACGACTGGTTATGAACCACTTTTCAAAAATCAAATCATGGGTGCAATTAATATAATTTTTCAAGAAGATTATAGAATACTTTTTTTTGTAACACTTTCATTAAAAGGCTTCGGTATTTAGAGTTTACAATTACATTTAAAACTTTTCAGTTGGGCTCATACTTGTTATCCTGGCACTTTGTGAGGCTGAGGGAGGAAGAATACATGAAGCCAGGAGTTTGAGGCCAGTCTGAGCAACAAATTGAAACTCTATCTCTATAACTTTTTTTTTTAATTAACTGGGTGAGGTAGCATGCACCTGCAGTCCCAGCTACTCAGCAGGCTGAGGCGGGAAGATTGCTTTAGTCCAGGAGTTTGAGGCTGCAGTGAGTTATGACTGTGCCACTGCATTCCAGCCTGGGCAATAGAGCAAGAGTCCGTCAAGTTATAATACAAAATAAAATAAAATAAAATAAAATATATTTTTAAAATTTTTTAAAAAGGAAAAAACTTTTCATTACTATATTTACACAAAGGAGAAAGGAGAAATAGCCTTTATTGTAGACCCTACTATAAGCTAGGCATTTAGATACATTATCTAATACAATTCCTTCCAACAATCTTTTGAGGGTTTTTTTTTGAGACGGAGTCTTGCTCTGTCGCCCAGGCTGGAGTGCAGTGGTGTGATCTCGGCTCACTGCAACCCCCATCTCCTGGGTTCAAGAGATTCTCATGCCTCAGCCTCCTGAGTAGCTGGGATTACAGACACCTGCCACCATAGCTGGCTAATTTTTGTATTTTTAGTAGAGACGGGGTTTCACCATATTGGCCAGGCTGGTCTCGAGCTCCTGACCTCAAGTGATTTGCCCGCCTCGGCCTCCCAACGTGCTGGGATTACAGGCGTGAACCACTGCACCCAGCCTTGAGTTGGTATTTTTATTTCTACTTTGCAGATGAGTAAAATTGAGACTCTTGGTAGTTACATAACTTAATCAATCTCACACAGCTATTAAGAAGCCATGATTTTAACCCAACTCTACAAAGCCCAAATTCGTGTCACAACACAATCCTGGTTCTTGGAATTTCAGACTATATAAGAGATTTTAATATGGAAATTTAATTTAAAGATCTATGTACCCAAAATCCTACAGACATTTCAAATTAAGATTGTTTAATTTTTGTATGCAAAATGTTAAATGTACTACACTTATTCTCATTGTATTCTGAGACAAAATTCTTTTTTAAAAATTTCAACTTTGGCCAGGCACGGTGGTGGCTCACACCTGTAATCCCAGCACTTTGGGAGGCTGAGGCAGGTGGATCACTTGAGGTCAGGAGCTCAAGACCAGCCTGGCCAAAACGATGAAACCCCGTCTCTACTAAAAATACAAAAATTAGCCTGGCGTGGTGGCACGTGCCTGTCATCCCAGCTACATGTGAGGCTGAGGCAGGAGAATAGCTTGAACCCGGGAGGCGGAGGTTGCAGTGAGCCGAGATCGCGCCATTGCACTCCAGCCTGGGCAACAAGAGCAAAACTCTGTCTTAAAAAAAAAATTCAACTTTTATTTTAGATACAGGGAGTAGATATGCAGGTTTGTTACATGGGTATATTACACCCAGGTAGTGAGCACAGTATCCAAAAAGTCAGTTTTCAACTCATGGCACACCCCGAGGCCCACTCTAGTAGTCCGCAGTGTCTATTTTTCCATTTTTATGTCCATGTATGCTCAATGTTTAGCTCCCATTTATAAGTGAAACCATGCAGTATTTGGTTTCCTGTTCTTACATTAATTGTTTTAGGATTATAATGTCCAGCTCCATCCATGTTGCTGATAATGACATGATTTCATTATATTTCATGGCTGTGTATTATTCCATGATTTTCTTTCTCATAAGTACCACATTTTCTTCATCCTATCCACAATTGATGGGCACCTAGGTTGATTCCATGTCATTGCTATTGTGAATAGTGTGGTGATGAACATGGAAATGCATGTATCTTTTCAGTACAATGATTTTTTTTTCTTTGGGTATATACCCAGTAATGGGATTTCTGTGGTGGAACTAATTTACATTCTCACAACAGTGTATAAGAATTCCCTTTTCTCTGAAGCCTTGCCAGCATCTGTTGTTTTTTGACCTTTTAAAATAGCCATTCTGACTGGTATGACATGTTATCTCATTGTGGTTTTAATTTCATTTCTCTGATGATTAGTGATGATGGGCATTTTTTCATATGTTTATTGGCTGCTTATTTGTCTTATTTTGAGAGGTGTCTGTTCATGTCCTTTGCCCATTTTTAAATGGGGTTCTTTGTTTTTCCTTGTTAAGTTCCTTATAGATTCTGGATATTAGACCTTTGTAATAGGGATAGTTTCCGAATACTTTCTCCCATTCTGTAGGTTGTCTGTTGACTGCTGATAGTTTTTTTTTGCTGTGAAGCACTTTAGTTTAATTAGGTCTCACTTGTCAATTTTTACTTCAGTTGCAATTGCTTTTGGGGACTTAGCCAAAAATTATTTGCCAAAGCCAATGTCAAGAAGGATATTTCCTAGGTTTTCTTCTAGGATTTTTCTGGTTAGAGGTCTGTCATTTAAATCTTCAATCAATCCAAAATTCTTCTAATAATGCAACATAATAAAACTATGGGAAAGCTGATTATATTATGACAACATTCTAGATAACTATAAACAAGAATAGAAAATAAATGGGAGGTAAATTGCCTTAATGATTATGTGAAAGCTGTCAGAATCAAAATTTCGTTTGTGTTAAAAACTCTGACAACTAGAACTGGGGAAGGTCATGAAGGGAGAGTTCTCATATGAATGCCTGGTAATAAGAGCTATCATAAAAGACTGTAGAAACCACAACCTTGCACAAATGCCATCAGAACCTTACAAAAACCAAAAAACTTCTATGAGAATATCTGCCCAGCATGCCCAGCAACTGCCTGTCCAGCCTTGGACAGGAGCCACCCTTGTGAATGATACTTATAGTCAAGGATAATTATCTCAAAAACTATGATGTAATCCTCCTCATTTTTCCTTCAAAAACGTTTGTCTTCCTTTACCTCCCTGAATACACACATAATTTACTATGGCATGTAATTCCCATTGCAATGTCTATTCCTGAATAAATATTTTAGAGAGTCTCCCTCATTGTTTGTTATTTAGGTTGACAGTTAATATCCTTTTAATCATTATTTTGTTAAAAAATTGTACCTTAAAACTCTTTACAGAAAGTGTTTAAGATACATATTTTCTGAAATTCATCTATTATAAAGTGAAATGAACTAGAGGCTTGAAATAAATTGTTCAATTTTTTTCTGTTATGTATATAGCTACATCAGTGCAGTTATCATATGTAACTAGAATCTTTGGTCCTTGCAAACTTCCCTAACTCTTTTCAGGCATACTTTTAAAAAGTAATCTAAAATTCAATGACAGAAGTGTTTTCTGGTCTACAATATTATTCAAAAAAAGGTTTTGAAACTCATTTTCTCCCTTAAAAAGTCTTGAGCAACAGACAGCTCACAGAAAGAACATACAAGTACCTCAAACACATTAAAAAATAATTTTCCTCCTAATAAGAAAAATAAATTAGAATTACATTGTGATATCATTTTCCCCACTAAATTGGCAAAGGAAAAAAAGTTGAATATACTACCATGTTGGTGAGGAGGTGGAGAAATAGTAATTCCGCTACATTGTTGATATTAGCATGTAGTAGACTTCCATGAGAGCAATTTGGCAAAATCTATCAAAATTACAAATGTACAGGCATACTTTGAAGATATTGCAGATTCAGTTATAGACCACCATAGTAAAGTTAATATTGCAATAAAATGAGTCACATGACTTTTTTATTTCCCAGTGCATATAAAAGTTATATTTACACTATTCTATAGTATATTAGTGTGGAACAGCATTATGTCTAAAAAATGTACATACCTTAATTTTAAAATACTTTATTGCTAAAAAAATGGTAATATTCATTTGATCCTTTAGTGAGTCATAATCTTATTGCTGATGGAAGTTCTTGCCTCAAGGTTGAAGCTGCTGACTGATCAGCGTGGTGGTTGTTGAAGGTTGGGGTGGCTGTGGCAATTTCCCTTCCTTCCTTCCTTTCTTCCTTCCTTCCTTCCTTTCTTTCTTTCTTTTTTCTTCCTTTTTTTTTTTTTTTGAGACAAGGTCTTACTCCGTCACCCAGGCTGATGTGCAGTGGCACAATCATGGCTCACTGCAGCCTTGAATTCCTGAGGTCAAGCAATCCTCCCACCTCAGCCTCTGGAGTAGCTGTAACTATAGGCACATGCCACAATGCCTAGCTAATTTTTAACACTGTTTTGCAGAGAGGGGGTCTCACTATGTTGCCCAGATTGGTCTTGAACTCCTGAGCTCAAGTGATCCTCCTGCCTTAGCCTCCCAAAATGCTAGGATTACAGGCACTAGCCACTGCGCCTGGCCCACAATTTCTTAAAAATAAGACAACAGTGAAGTTTGCCACATCAGTTGACTCTTTCATGAAAGATTTTTCTCTAGCATGTGATGCTGTTTGATAGCATTTTGCCCACAGGATAACTTCTTCCAAAATTGGACTCAATCCTCTTAAGCTCTACTGCTGCCTTATCAACTAAGGTTATGTCATATTCTAAATCCTTTGTTGTCATTTCAACAATGTTCACATCTTCATCTGGAATAGATTCCATCATAAGAAACCACTGTTTGCTCATCCATAAGAAGCAACTCCTCTTCCATTCAAGTTTTATCATGAGATTGCAGCAATTCAGTCATATCTTCAGGCTTCATTTCTAATTCCAGTTCTCTTGCTATTTCCACCAATCTTCAGTGACTCCTTTCCCAGAAGTCCTGAACCACTCAAAGTCATTCATGAGGGCTGAAATCAACTTCTTTCAAACTCCTGCTAATGCTGATATTTTGACCTCCCATGAATCATGAATTTTCTTAATGGCATCTAGAATGGTGACTCTTTTCCAGAAGGTTTTCAATGTACTTTGCCCAGATCTGTAAGAGGAATCATAATCTATGGCAGCTATAGCCTTACAAAATATATTTCTTAAAGAATAAGACTTGATACTCAAAATTACTCCTTGACCCACGGACTGCAGAATGGATGATGTGTTACCAGGCATAAAAACAACATTCATCTCCTTGTACATCTCCATCAGAACTCTTGGATGATTGGGTGCATTGTCAATAACCAGCAATAGTTTGAAAGGAATCATTTTCCTCAGGAGTAGGTCTCAAGAGTGGACTTAAAATATTTAGTAAACCATGCTGTAAAGAGATGGGCTCTCATCCAGGCTTTGTTGTTCATTTAGAAAGCATAGGCAGAATTGATTTGGCATAATTTTGAAGAGCCCTAGGATTTTCAGAATTCTCAATGAGCATTGGCTTCAACTGAAAGTCACATTCTACATTAGCCCCTAAGGAGAGAGTCAGGCTGCCCTTTGAAACTTTGAAGCCAGGCATTGACTTCTCTTTAGCTATCAAAGTCCTAGATGGCATCTTCTTCCAATAGAAGGCTATTTTGTGTACATTGAAAAATCTGTTCTTTAGAGTAGCCACCTTTATCAATTATCTTAGCTAGATCTTCTGGATAAAGGTTGCCGTAACTTCTACATCAGCACTTGCTGTTTCATCTTTAACTTTTATGCTATGGAGTTGGCTTCTTCCCTTAAACCTCATGAATTAACTTCTGCTAGCTTCAGACTTTTCTTCTCCAGCTTCCTCACCTCTCTCAGCCTTCACAGAATTGAAGAGAGTTAAGGCCTGGCTCTGAATTAGGCTTTGGCTTAATACAATATTGTGGCTGGTTTGATCTTCTATCTAGGCCACTAAACTTTCTCTCTGTCAACAATAAGTCTGTTTTGCTTTCTTATTATTCATATGTTCACTGGAGTAGCACTTTTAATATCCTTCAAGGATTTTTCCTTTGCATTCACAACTTTGCTGTTTGGTGCAAGAGTCCTAGCTTTCAGCATATCTCAGCCTTTGACATGCCTTCCTCATTAAGCTTAATTGCTTTTAGCTTTTGATTTAAGATGATAAATGTGCAACTCTTCCTTTCACTTGAACAATTAGAGGCCATTTTAGCATCATTAGTTGGCCTAATTTCAATATTCTTGTGTCTTGGGGAATAGACCCAAGCAGGGGGAGAGAGATGGGGGGAATGTCGGTTGGTGGGGTAGCAAAAACACACCCAATACTTATCAATTAAGTTCACTATCTCATATGGGTGCAGTTTGTGGTGCCCCAAAACAATTACAATAATAACATGAAAGATCACTGACCACAGATCGCCATAATAGATATAATAATAACAAAAAATTTTAAATATCAAAAGAATAACCAAAATGTGACAAAGACCCAAAAGTGAGCACATGCTCTTGGAAAAGTGACACCGATAGACTTGGTCAGTGCAGGGTTGCCACAAACCTTCAATTAATAAAAAATGCAGGATCTGTGAAGCACAAAAAAGCAAACTACAGTAAAATTAAGTATGCTCGTATCAGTTTTCCCCACATCACTTATGTAAGGGGCTATCCTTTCCCCATTGTGTGTTCTTGGCACCTCTGTCAAAGATCAGTTGACTGGGTTCTCTATTTTGTTCCATTCGTCTATATGTCTGTTTTTATGTCAGCAACATGCTGCTTTGATTAATGTCACTTTGTAATATATTTTGAAGTCAGGAAGTGTGATGCCTCTAGCTTCATTTTTCTTGCTCAAGATTGACTTGGCTATGTGGGGTCTATTGTGGTTCCATATAAATTTTAGCATAATTTTTTCTATTTCTATAAAGAATGCCAGTGGGATTTTGATAGAGATTGTACTGAATCTGTAGATCACTTTGAATAATGTGGCTTTTTTTTTTCTTTTTTTTTTGAGACAGAATTTCGCTCTTGTTGCCCAGGCTGGAGTGCAATGGCGTGATCTCAGCTCACCGCAACCTCCAGCTGCAGGGTTCAAGGGATTCTCCTGCCTCAGCCTCTCGAGTAGCTGGGATTACAGGCATGCACCACCATGCCTGGCTAATTTTGTATTTTTAGTAGACACGGGGTTTCTCCAAGTTGGTCAGGCTAGTCTCGAACTCCCCATCTCAGGTGATCCACCCACCTCAGCCTCCCAAAGTGCTGGGATTACAGGCATGAGCCTCTGTGCCTGGCCTAATGTTGACATTTTAAAAATATTGAATTTTCCAATCCATGAACATAGGATGTATTTCCATTCATCTGTGTCTTCTTCAGTTTCCTTCATCAATGTTTCATAATTTTCAGCATGCAAGTGTTTCTGTTTTGGTTAAGTTTGTAGCTATTGTAAATGGGATTGTTTTTTAAATTTCCTTTTCAGGTAGTTTTGCTGTTTGTGTGTTTTAGTATGTTGGTTATCCTGTAACTTTACTAAATTGGTTAGTTAGTTCCAACAGATTTTTTTCCTTTAGGGTTCTGTACATATTTGATTGTGTCATCTGCAAACAGAGATAATTTTACTTATTCTTTTACAATTTGGATGTTATTTTGGTCTAATTATTCTGGCAAGAACTTCCAGTAATATGTTGAACAGAAGTGTCAAGCATGAACATCCTTGCCTTGTATTGGATCTTGGGGGAAGCTTTCGACCTGTCCCCCAAGGTTTGATTGTGGTGTTAGGTTTGGGCTTTTCATATATGATCTTTGTTGTTTTGAGGTAAGTTCCTGCTATATTTATTTTGTTGTAGCTTTAATCATGAATGGATGGCAAATTTTGTCAAATGTTTTTTTCTGCATCTATTGAGAAGATCATGTGGTTTTTTCTTTCATTTTGTTAATGTGCTGTATCTCATTGGTTGATTTGCATATAGTGAACCATCCTTAACTCCCAAGGATAAACTCAAGTTGGTCATAGTATATGATCCCTTTAATGAGCAACTGAATTCAGTTTGCTAGCATTTCATTGAGGACTTTTGCATGTATATTCATTGGGACTATTGCTCTTTAGTTTTCTTTCTTTCTTTTTCTTTTGTATAGTGTTTTTGTCTGGTTTTGGTGTCAGGATGATGCTGGCCTCATAGAATGAATTTGGAAGTATTCCTTATCTTTTTGGGAAGAGTTTAAGGAGAAAGGGTATTAATTATTTTACAAATGTTTCATACAATTCACCCAGGAGGCCATCTGATTCTGGGCTTTTCTTTGCTGGAAGGCTTTGATTATTGATTCAATGTTCTTACTTGTTATTGGTTTCTTCAGGCTTTCTATATTTTCTTAATTCAGGGTATATGGTTCTAATCTTCTAAGTTATAGTTTATTGGCATATAATTAAATTGTTCATAATAGTCCCTTATGATTCTTTTTTTTTTTTTTTTTTTGAGACAGTCCCACTCCATCACCAAGGTTGGAATGCAGTGGCATGATCTCAGCTCACTGCAGCCTCCACCTCCTGGGTTCAAGCAATTCTCATGCCTCAGCCTCCCAAGTAGCTGGGATTACAGGCATGTGCCATCACACTCGGCTAATTTGTGTATTTTTAGTAGAGATGGGGTTTCACCATGTTGGCCAGGCTGGTCTCGAACTCCTGACCTCAAGTGATCCACCCTCCCTGGCCTCCCAAAGTGCTGGGATTATAGGCGTAAGCCACTATGCTCAGCCGATTCTTTTTATTTCTGAGGCACTCTTTGCAATGCGTCCTCTCTTATTTCTGGTTTATTTGAGTTTTTTTTCTTTTTTCTCAGTCTAGCAAAGACTGAGATTTTTTGTTGATTTTTTGTTTTCAAAAAACCAACTCTTAGTCTTATGGAATCTTTTCTCTTGCTTATAAAATTCTCTATTTGAGGCCAGGCCTAGTGGCTCATGCCTGTAATCCCAGCAGGAATCAATTCCTGAGGTCAGGAGTTCGAGACCAGCCTGACCAACATGGTGAAACCCCGTCTCTTACTAAGAATACAAAAATTAGCCGGGCATGCTGGTGGGCACCTGTAATCCCAACTACTCAGGAGGCTCAGGCACGAGAATCACTTGAACCCGGGATCATGCCACTGCACTCCAGCCTGTGTGACACAGTGAGACTCTGTCTCAAAAAAATAAACAAATAAATAAATATATTCTCTATTTCTTCTTTGATCTTTATTAATTCCTTTATTCCACTAATTTGGGGCTTAGTTTGCTCTTTTTCTAGTTCTTTGAGGTGTAATATCTTATTTGAGATCTTTCTCCTTCCTCCCTTCCTCCCTCCCTCTCTCCCCTCCCTCCCTCCCTCCCTTCTTTCTTTCTCTTCCTTCCTTCCTTCCTTTCTTTCTTTCTTTCTTTTCTTTCTTTCTTTCTTTTTCTTTCTATTTCTTTCTTTTTGAGACTGAGTCATGCTCTGTCACCCAGGCTGGAGTGCAGTGGCATGATCTTGGCTCACTGCAACCTCTACCTCCCAGGTTCAAGTGATCTCCTGCCTCAGCCTCCCACGTAGCTGGGATTACAGGCACGCACCACCATGCTTGGCTAATTTTTTGTATTTTTAGTAGAGATGAGATTTTGCCATGTTGGCCAGGCTGGTCTCAAACTCCTGACCTCAAGTGATCCTCCCACCTCGGCCTCCCAAAGTGCTGGGATTACAGGCATGAGCCACTGTGCCCGGCCTTCTTTCTTCTTTTAATGTAGGCATTTATCACTATATACTTCCCTTTTAGTACTGCTTTTGCTGCACCCTATAAATTTTGGTATGTTCTACTGTTTTTCTCTTTTTTTTCCCTTTCTTTCTCTCTTTCTTTTCTTTCTTTCTTTTTTTTTTTTTTTTTTTTTTTCTTTGCCCAGGCTAGCCTCAAACTCTTGGTCTCAAGCAATTTTCCCATCTTGGCCTCCCAAAGCAGTGGGATTATAGATGTGAGCCATCATTTCTAGCCTCAAGATACTCTTAAAATTACCCGTTGATTTCCTCTTTGACCCAAGAGTTGTTCAAGAGTTTGTTGTTGAGTTTCTATGTGTTTGTGATTTTTCCTATTTTCTTAAGATTATTGATTTCTACTTTCATCCCTTGTGGTCCAGAAAGATACTTGGAATAATTCCAATCTTCTTAAATTAGGTCACTTGTTTTGTAATCTAACATATGATCTATCCTGGAGAATGTTCCATGTATGCTTGAGAAAAGTGGATAATCTTCTGTTGTTGGGTGCAAATTTCTTTATATATCTGTTAGGATCATTTGTTTTATAGTGTTTTCTGTTTCTTTTTTGATATTCTGTACATTATTATAAGTGGAGTATTGAAATCCTCTACTATTATCATGTTACTGTCAAATTCTGCCTTCAGATCTGTCAACATTTGCTTTATATATTTAGATGCTCTTTGTTCAGTATATACATATTTATAATTGTTACATAATCATGTTGAAATGATCTTTTTATAATTATATCAAGACTTTGTCTCTGCAGGCAGCTTTAAACTAAAATCTGTTTTGTCTAACATAAGTATAGTTACCCTGCGTATCCTTGGTTACCATTTGCGTGAGAAATCTTTTCTCATCTCTTCACTTTTAGTCTATATGTGTCTTTAACTCTAAAATCAGTCTCTTATAAACAACATACCATTGGATCCTGTTCTTTCAAATTACACAGCCACTCTATGCCTTTTAATTGGTGAGTTTAATCCATTTACATTTAAAGTAATTAGTGATAGCTGAGGACTACTATTGCCATTCTGTTAACTGGTTTGTGTCTTTTGCAGTTATATTGCCCCTCTCTTCCTCTCTTATTATATTCGTTTGTTATTTGATGTTTTATAGTGATTGCTTTGATTCTCATCTCTTTATGTTTTCTGTATCTGTTACAGATTTTATTCTTTGTGGTTAACTTGAGGCTTATGAAAAATATCTTGTATTTCTAACCATCTATTTTTAAGTTTATAACTATTTCAATCACATCCAAAACCTTTATACTTTTGGCCAGGCATGGTGGCTCACACCTGTAATCCCAGTGCTTTGGGAGGCTGAGACAGGAGGATTGCTTGAAGTGAGGTGTTTGAGACCAGCCTGTGCAATGTAGTAAGACCTTGTCTCTAAAAAAAACCAAAACCAAAAACCGTTTTACATTTTTACTCCCCACCCCTACACTTTGTGTTCTTGTAGTCAGTTTGTTGCCTTTTATATTGTGTATCCTTTGACAAATTTTTATCTTTTAATTTTTATATTAGGGTTAAAAGTAAGTTAGGCCCCACCATTATAGTTTTATATTAACTATATTTGTCCATATATTTTCCTTTACTCATAATATTTATGCTTTTATATGTTTTCATTATACTATTTAGTGTGTTTTCATTTCAATTTGAAGAAATAACTCTTTTAAACATTTCTTTTACGGCTGGGCTAGTAGTGACAGACTCCCTTTGTTTTTGTTTGTCTAAGGAAGAATTCATCTCCCCTTCATTTTTAAAGGATAATCTTGCCAGATGTAGATTCACGGTAAGTAGTTTTTTTTTTCCAGTTCTTTCAATATATCATCCCATTCTCTTCGGCATGCAAGGTTTCTGATGAGAAAGCCACTGATAGTCTTATGGTGATTCCCTATATGTGATGCATTACTTTTCTCTTGCAGCTTTAAAATTCTTTCAGTGTCCTTTATTTTAGACAATTTGATTAAAATGTACCTTGGTATAGTCTTGAATTGATCCTCTTTGAAAACCTGTAAGCTTCATGAATCTGGATATCCATTTCCCTCTCAAAATTTGAGAAGTTTTCAGCCATTACTTCTTTATTTTATTTTATTATCATTATTATTATTATAATTTTTTGAGAAGTAGTCTTGCTCTGTCACCCAGGCTGGAGTACAGTGGCACAATCTCAGTTCATTGCAACGTCTGCCTCCCAAGTTCAAGTCATTCTCCTGCCTCAGCCTCCCGAGTAGCTGGAATTACAGGCACCTGCCACCACACCTGGCTAATTTTTGTAGTTTAAGTAGAGACAAGGTTTCACCATGTTGGCCAAGCTGGTCTTTAACTCCTGACCTCAGGTGATCCACCTGCCTCGACCTCCCAAAGTGCTGGGATTACAGGCATGAGCCACTGCACCTAACCCATTATTTCTTTAAAAAAGCTTTTTACCTCTTTCTCTTGCTTTTCTTCTTCTAGTACTCTCATTATGCACATATTGGTTTGCTTGATGGTGTCCCATAAGTCCTATAAATTTTCTTCACTCTTTTTCATTCTTTTTTCTCCTCTGACTGGATAATTTCAAATAACCTGTCTTCAAGGGCACAAATTCTTTCTTCTGCTCAATAAAGTCTATTTTTGAAGTTCTCTATTGTGTTTTTAATATCAGTCATTAGGTTTTTTGGTTCCAGAATTTCTTTCTTTTTCTTTTTTTTTTTTTTTTCTTTTTTTGAGTTGGAGTCTCATTCTGTCACCCAGGCTGGAGTGCAGTGGCATGACCTCAGCTCACTGCAACCTCTGCCTCCCAGGTTCAAGTGATTCTCCTGTCTCAGTCTCCTGAGTAGCTGGGATTACAGGTGCACACCACCATGCCCAGCTAATTTTTTGTATTTTAGTAGATATGGGGTTTCACTGTGTTGCCCAGGCTGGTCTCAAACTCCTGAGCTCAGGCAATCCGCCTACCTTGGCCTCCCAAAGTGCTAGGATTACAGGTGTGAGCCACCACTCCCAGCCTGGTTCTTTTTTATAAGTTCTACCTTCCTGTTGAACTTCTTGTATTGTTCATGTATTCTTTCTCTGTTTTCAGATGAAATCAGACATGTTCGAGGTGGTATGGCCGTAGACTCTTTTTCTGTTTTCACTGAGTTGTCCAACTGTGTTCTCCTATTGCATGCTGAACTTCTTTAAAAACAATTATTTCTAATTGTTTGGAAGGCAATTTATAGATATCCATTTCTTTGGGGTTGGTTATTGGAAAATTATTGTGTTCCTTTGGTGGTGTCCTGTTTCTTTGATTTCGTGTGTGCGTATTTCTTGTAGCCTTGGGCTGTTTCTTTGCATATTTCATGGAGGAGTAACTTCTAGAGCATATGAACTGGCTTCATGGAGGAAGACTGTCACCTACAGGTTGGTGCAAGTGATGGCAGCAGTGGCCTGTCTGGAGTAGCCACTGTGAAGATGCCGGCTTCAGCAGGGGAAGCACAACTGGGGCTGCACACTCTGCTGAGCCCACGGGTGCCGGGAACAGGTGGGAGCCCCACCCCCTAACAAGTCAGTGGAGCAGGAGCCACATGCTCCCAGGCACAGCTGCAGCTTCTCAGCTGTAGCCACAGACCCAGGCATCCCTGAGGTCTCAGGGGCCCCGGAAGCCCTTTGTTCCCGTAGGCTTGAAAGTGCCTGCTCCCACTGCCTGGCCTCTCCCTGCTCCTGGCCCCCACTCTGGGGCAGAGCAAAGTTGTGGCAGAGCCCAGGCACTGTTGTGACCCAGCTGGGTACCCAAGCACTCAGGGCAGTGCTGACATGCCAGCCCCCTGCTGTCTCAGGCCATCCAGACTTTGGGAACTGAAGAGCACAAGAGGGAGACCAAGGGGTTGCTCAGGGTGGCTCAGTGTGGGCCTGTAGGCAAACCTCAGCATGAACAGCCTGGGCGGCATGGACAACATGTTGATGGTGACAGGAGGCAGACAGGCTCCTGGGCAGAAAGGGGCAGGTTCCCAGTGAAACGCAACCTTCAAGCCATGGATGGCATGAAGCCTGGGGGCTGGGCTGTCAGCTCCAGGTGGAGTCTGCGGCCTGGAGTGAGAACTTATGGTGCTTTTTCCAGGCCCGCCCATGGCCACCCATGGGCCAATCAGAACACACTTCTTCCTTTCTGAGCCCATAAAAACTATGTTACCTAGCTAGACTCATACAGATGTCAGGACTACCAGCTGCAGGAAGGAGCTACCCACTTCAGGTCTCCTCTACTTGTCAGTATGACCTGCCTGTGGAAAAGAGCTACTCACTCTGGGTCTCCTTTCTGCTGAGAGTTGAACACTTGTTGGGACAACCTGTCTGTGGAAAGGAGCTACCTACTCTGGGTTTCCTCTCCCCTGAGAGCTGGACACTCATCTGGACAACCTGCCTGCAGCTAGGAGCTACCTTCTCTGGGTCTCTTCTCTGCTGAGGGCTGCACTCGTCAGGACTACCTGCCTGCAGAAAGGAGCTATCCACTCCAGGTGTCCTTTCTTCTGAGAGCTGGACACTTGTTGGGATGACCTGCCTGCAGGTAGGAGCTGCCCACTCTGGTCTCCTCTCTGCTGAGGGATGCACTCGTCAGGACTAACTGCCTATGGAAAGGAGCTACCCACTCCAGGTCTCCTCTCCCCAGAGAGCTGGACACTTGTCAGGATGACCTGCCTGTGAAATGGAGCTACCCAATCTGGGGCTCCTCTCTACTGAGGGCTGAACTAGTTGGGATGACCTGCCTGTGGAAAGGAGCTACCAACTCCAGGTCTCCCAAGAGCTGTTCTGTCACTCTTTTGCTCAAGAAAGTTCCTTTCTGCCTTGCTCACCCTCCAGTTTTCTGCATACCTCATTCTTCCTGGACACAGGACAAAAATTCAGGACCTGTTGAATGGTGGGACTGAAAGTGCTATAACACAAACAGAGCTAAAACACCTGCCTCCACCCCACTCGTCACACTGCAGGCAATGAGAAGGAGAGAAGAGCTGCAGCCCTTCAGGGAGCTCAGATGCACAGGCTCCCCCAGCCAGGGCTGTGACACCCTCTTTGGGGCTCTGTGGTTTCTAGTGTCTTGGAGCTTCCAAGTGCCACCATGTTCCCCTTGTCCAGATGTGAGTGCCCAGAGCAGAAGCCACTTATAGTGCATCTGATCCAGCCACAGGCTTGAACAGAGCCAGCACCTGTGGTGGCACCTGGAACTGCCCACCCCACCACAGCAGCCAATGCTTGGCTGTGTGCAGCAGCCAGACCCCATGCTTGCTTACTTGTGCACCCCTCTCCTCTCCATGCCTGGATCATTCTTTGAAGGTGTGGGAGCCAGGCCAGTAGCATGAGCTGAGTGCAGCCTGCCAGGCCGAGTGGGTGGAACAAGCCCAGCAGGCTTGAGCAAAACTCTGGCAAAGGCACCACTGGCCACAGAGGTTTCCAACTGGAAAAGTGACACCTGGAGGATGCCATGACACAAGGATTCTGACTGATGGGTATGCAGCCCTTGGTACAACACTGAATATAAATGGTAAGAGTGAACGTCCTTGTCTTATTCCTGATCTTAGGTGGTACTATGGTTTGAATATGATTTGTTTGGCCCTGCCAAGTCTCATGTTGAAATCTGATCCCCAGTGTTAAAGATGGGGCCTGGTAGGAGTGTTTGGGTTGTGGGGGTGGATCCTTCATGAATAGCTCTGTACCATTCTCACGAGAGTGAGTTCTTACTTTTAGTTCCCACAAGAACTGGTTGTTGAAAAAAGCCTGGTACCTCCTCTAGTCTCTCTCTTGCTTCCTCTCTCACCATATGATATGCATATACCAGCTCCTCTTCACTTTCTGCCATAAGTGGAATCAGCCTGGAGCCTTCACTAGAAGCAGATGCCAATGCCATGATTCTTGTGCAGCCTGCAGAACCGTGAGACAAATGAACCTCTTTTCTTCATGAATTACCCAGCCTCAGGTATGCCTTTATATTAATAGTAACACAGACTAAGATGGGATAATTTTTTCAAGCCTTTCACCACAAAGTGACATTAGCAGTGTGTTTTCATAGATGCCCTTTATCAGGCTGAGGAAGTTTCCTTCTATTCCAGGTTTCTTGTTTGTTTTTTTAATCATTAAAGTGTGTTGAATTTTCTCAAGTGCTTTTTCATATCTATGACATGACTGTTTGGCTTTTGTCCATTATTCTATTAATATGATATATGATAATGTATGCTGAGCCTGTATTCATGGAATAAATTCCACTTTGTCATGGTCCATAAATATTTTTATATGGAGCTGGAATCATTCTGATAGTCTATATTCATAACAATAGTTTATATTCATAAAGTTACTGGAAAGAATTTGGCTGTTAATCTTATCAAGAATACCTCAGAGATGATGAGCTGCTTCTGTCTTTCTGCTTTCAATATACTCTCTGTGCCCTTGGTTTTCCAGTTGGTTATGTTGTGTATAGGTGTGCATCTCTTTGCATTTATACTACAGTATAACCTTGAACAACATGAGGGGTTGGGGTGCCGACCCCACTAGTCAAACATCCACATATACATACCTGTGAGAAGAGGGTAGAAAAAAAATCCACATACAACTTTTGACTTCCCAAAAACTTAACTACCAATAGTCTACTATTGGCCAGAATGTTACTGACAACATAAACAGCTGATTAACACTTTTTTTAATGTTATAAGTATCATATACTGTATTTTTACCATTAAGCCAGCCAGAGAAAAGAAAATAATAAGGAAAATATATTTACTATTCATTAAGTGGGTAATCAGAAAGGAATTCATCCCCTCTGTTTTCACATTGAGTAGGCTAAAGAGGAGAAGGAAAAAGAGGGGTTGGTCTTGCCATCTCAGGGATGGCAGAGGTGAGTAAAAGTTCCATATAAGTGGACCTGAACAGCTCAAACCCATGTTGTTCAAGGGTCAACTATACTTGGAGTCTGTTGAGTTTCTTTGATGTATAGATTAATGTTTTTCATCAAACGCTGGCAGTTTTTGGCCATTATTTTGTCAAGCATATTTTTTGCTCCTTTTTCTCTCTTCCGAGACTACCATTATGCATAGATTGGCATGCTTGATGGTATCCTATAGATCTGCAAGGTTCTCTTCATCTTTGTTAATCTTTTTTTCTTTCTCTTTCTCAGACCAGATTTTCTCAATTGGTTTATCTTCAGGTTCACTGATTCTTTTTCAAATATGCTCTTGAAACCCTCTAGTGAATTTT
The DNA here is from genome assembly GCF_000001405.40 of Homo sapiens. NCBI lineage: Eukaryota > Metazoa > Chordata > Mammalia > Primates > Hominidae > Homo > Homo sapiens. Next base: position 51,062,774 of record NC_000001.11, read on the forward strand.
TTTGTTTCAGTACTTTTTGACTCTAGAATTTCTATTTGGTTGTTTTATTTAAAAAGAAATTATTTAAATGTCTATCTCTTTATTGATATTCTCTCTTAAGTTTTATATCATTTTCATACTTTCCTTTGGTTCTTTATACATAGTTTCCTTTAGTTCTTCAAACATTTAATATCGCTGATTTAACAACTTGGCCTTGTAAGTTTAGCATCAAGGCTTTCTGAGGGACAGTTTCTATTAACTGCTTTTTTTTTCCCAATATATGGGCCCTACTTTGAGTCTCATAATTTCCTGTTGAAAATAGTCATTTTACATAATATAATGTAACAACTATGGAAATCAGACTCTCTCCCATCCCAGGGTTTATTAATATTGCTGGTTGTTTATTTGTTTTGTTTGTTGTTGTTGCTGTTTCTTAGTAACTTTCCTGGACTAATTCTATAAAGTCTCTATCCTTTTTCAAGTGTGGTCACTGAAGTATCTGCTCAGTTTGCTTAGTCATCAGCTAAGAATTGCAGAAATTTCCTCAAATGTCTAGAACAAATAAGTCTCCATAAGTCTCCCAGGCTTTGCTAAGAGTTCCTGTGGGCACATTGTGGCAAACCTTTAACACTCAGGCAGGTAGTTCACATCTCTGCTTTAGCTGTAAATTCCTCCTTGTGCAGACTCAAGGTCAGTCAGAGGTAAGAGCTTAGGGCCTTCTCAAGTCTTTTCTGACCATGCCCATAGCTCAGGCATGTCCACAGTCCTATGTATGTGAGTAGCCTTCAGAATTTCCAGGTAAATGTCAAAGCTTTTCAAAGCCTCCATATGGACATCTCATTCCCCAGATTTCAAGTTCTTCAGTCACATTCTTGTTTGTCCCAAATGTTATTACCACCATAAGCAGCCTAATATTCATACATACATACATACATGTGTGTATATATATGTGTGTGTGTGTGTGTGTGCATGTAAGCCTTGAACAACATGGGTTTGAGCTGTGCAGATCCACTTATACACAGATCTTCTTCCACCTCTGCCATCCCTGCAACAAGACCAACCCCACCTCTTTAGCATACCCAATGTGAGTAGGATAGAGACCTTTCTAACGATACACTTCCACCTAATGAATAGTGAATACTTTTTATCTTCCTTATTATTTTCTTAATAACATTTTCTTTTCTCTAGCTTGCTTAATTACTATACAGTATATAATACATGTAACACAAAATATGTGTTAATTGACTATGTCATCGATAAGGGTTCAGGTCAAAAGCTATTAGTGGTTTTTAGAGTGTCAAATCAGGTCAAAAGCTACTACTGGTTAAGTTTTTAGAGTGTCAAAACTTATATGTGGCCAGGCACAGTGGCTCATGCCTATTATCCCAGCACTTTGGGAGGCTGGGGTGGGCAGATTGCTTGAGTCCAGAAGTTCAAGACCAGCCTGGGCAACATGGCTGGACCCTATCTGTACAAAAAATACAAAAATTAGCCAGGTGTGGTGGTATACGTCTGTGATCCCAGCTACTCGGGAGGCTGACGTAGGAGGATCACTTGAGCCTGGGAGGTCAAGGCTGCAGTGAGCCGTGATCATGCACTGCACTCCAGTTTCCTCAGCGACAGAGCAAGACCCCGTCTCTTAAAAAAAAAAGTTATATGTGGATTTCAACTGCATGGGGTCAGTGTCCCTAATCCCCATAGTGTTCAAGGGTCAACTGTATATAGTTAGATACATGGACACAGAGACACACACACACACACACATACACACACACACATAGAACAAAAACTGAGAGACTTTCCAAGGAGGAAAAGGCAATCCTACCAAGCATGGTGGGAAATTTTGTTTATTGTTTTTTACTGTAAAATAAAACACAGATAAAGAGTAACATATAAATGTGTAGCTTAATGAATTATTAGAAAATGACACCCTTAAAACTATGTCAGAGGAGCATGCAATTCATTGTGTTTCTCTGAATCCTCTATTTCTTGCAAGTTGACAGCTAAACCCAGAGGTTTGAGCAGACTCAGGGTCATTCACTTTGGCCAAACAATATAGTGCTGTGGTCTTTCATTAAGAGGCACATCATGTCTGGTTGTGATGTGAACAATTATTGCTGTTGAATACTTATAGCCATTAATTTACTGGGACTTTCAAAGTGGTGGTATCCTAATTCTAACATTTCTTTTTCTTTCTTTTTTTCTTTTTTTTGAGACAGAGTCTCACTCTGTCACCCAGGCTGAGATGCAGTGGTGTGATCTTGGTTCATTGCAACCTCTGCCTCCCAGGTTCAAGCAGTTCTCCTGCCTCAGCCTCCCGAGTAGCTGAGACTACAGGCCTGTGCCACCACATCCAGCTAATGTTTTTGTATTTTTAGTAGAGACAGGGTTTCACCAGGTTGGTCAGGCTGATCTCGAACTCCTGATCTCAACTGATCCACTCACCTTGGCCTCCCAAAGTGCTGAGATTACAGGCGTGAGCCACTGCACCCAGCCTTCTAATGCTAACACTTCTATTTCGTTAGTTGAAATACTTCAATAAAGTGATGCTTCTCTTCACCTATTATTTGGTTATCCAATGGTATAGTTCATGTAGTAAAGGCAGGATAATTTTTGTGTGTGTGTGATGGAGTCTCGCTCTGTCGCCCAGGCTGGAGTGTAGTGGCATAGTCTCAGCTCACTGCAACCTCCACCTCCCAGGTTCAAGTGATTCTCCTGCCTCAGCCTCCTGAGTTGCTAGGATTATAGGTGCGTGCCATCACACCCAGCTAATTTTTGTATTTTTAATAGTGACGTGGTTTCACCATGTTGGCCAGGCTGGTCTTGAACTCCTGACCTCAGGTGATCCAGCTGCCTTGGCCTCCCAAAGTGCTGGGACTACATTCATGAGCCACTGTGCCCAGCTTGGGAAAGGCAGGATAAATTTTTGATCTTTCCCTTTATTGGTTTTCAAGGTAACACATTTGTTTCCTATTATTTTCTAATTGTGAGCAATTTTTCTATCATTATGAACTCATGGATTTGATGAGTTTCACTCTATTGTGATTATGATCCTTATTGAGGCTAAATTTATCTCATATCTGGAGTGGGAACCACTTCAAGTTTGGGTCTGTGTCCTTTTGATTTAATCCTAGTGTATTAATCTGTTTTCATGCTGCTGATAAAGACATACCTGAGACTGGTCAATTTACAAAATAAAGAGGTTTAATTGGACTTACAGTTCCACATGGCTGGGGAAGCCTCACAATCGTGGTGGAAAGCAAGGAGGATCAAGTCCTGTCTTATGTGGATGGCAGCAGGCAAACAGAGCTTGTGGAGGGAAATTCCCACTTTTAAAACTATCAGGTCTAGTGAGACTCATTCATCATCAAAAGAACAGCGCAGGAAAGACCCACCCCCATAATTCAATCATACCCCACTGGGTCCCTCCCACACGCATGGGAATTATGGGAGCTACAAAATGAAATTTGGGTGGGGACACAGAGCCAAACCATATCCTTCTGCCCCTGGCCCCTCCCAAATCTCATATCTTCACATTTCAAAACCAATCATGCCTTTCCAACAGTCCCCCAAAGTCTCAACTCATTTCAGCATTAATTCAAAAGTCCACAGTCCAAAGTCTCATGTGAGACAAGGCAAGTTTCTTCTGCCTATGAGCCTGCAAAATCAAAAGCAAGGTAGTTACTTCCTAGATACAATGGGAGTAGAGGCATTGGGTAAATACAGCCATTCCAAATGGGAGAAATTGGACAAAACAAAGGGGCTACAGGGCCCATGCAAGTCTGAAATCCAGCGGGGCAGTCAAATCTTAAGGCTCTAAAATGATCTCCTTTGACTCCAAGTCTCACATCCAGGTCAAGCTGATGCAAGAGGTGGGTTCCCATGGTTTTGGGCAGCTCCGCCCCTGTGGCTTTGCAGGGTACAGCCTCACCCAGCCCAGCTTTCATGGGCTGGCATTGAGTGTCTGCAGCTTTTCCAGGCACATGGTGCAAGCAATCAGTGGATCTACCATTCTGGGGTCTAGAGGATGGTGGCCCTCTTCTCACAGCTCCACTAGGCAGTACCCCAGTAGGGACTTTGTGTGGGGGCTCTGACCCCACAGCTTCCTATCACACTGCCCTAGCAGAAGATCTCCATGAGAGCCCCACCCCTGCAGCAAACTTCTGCCTGGGCATCCAGGCGTTTCCATACAGCTGCTGAAATCTAGGTGGAGGTTGCCAAACTTCAATTCTTGACTTCTGTGTACCTGCAGGCTCAACACCATGTGGAAGCTGCCAAGGCTTGGGACTTGCACCATTTGAAGCCACAACCCAAGCCCTACATTGGCCACTTTCAGCCATAGCTGGAGTGGCTGGGACACAGGGCACCAAGTCCCTAGGGTGCACACAGCTCGGGGACCCTGGGCCTGGTCCACGAAACCACTTTTTCCTTCTAAGCGCCCAGGCCTACCATGGGAGGGGCTGCCATGAAGACCTCTGACATGCCCTGCATACATTTTCCCCATTGTTTTGGGGATTAACATTTGTCTCCTCACTACTTATGCAAATTTCTGTAGCTGGCTTAAATTTCTCCTCAGAAAATGGGATTTTCTTTTCTATGACAGTGTCAGGCTGCAAATTTTTCAGACATTTATGCTGTTTCCCTTTTAAAACTGAATGTTTTTAACAGCACCCAAGTCACCTTTTGAATGCTTTGCTGCTTAGAAATTTCTTCCACCAGATACCTAAATCATCTCTCTCAAGTTCAAAGTTCCACAAGTCTCTAGGACATGGGCAAAATGCCACCAGTCTCTTTGCTAAAACATAACAAGAGTCACCTTTGCTCCAGTTCCCAACAAGTTCCTCATCTCTATCTGAGACCACCTCAGCCTGGACCTTATTGTCCATATCACTATCCGCATTTGGGGCAAAGCCATTCAAAAAGCTCCAAACTTTCCCACATTTTCCTGTCTTCTTCTGAGCCCTCCAAACTGTTCCAATCTCTGCCAGTTACCCAGTTCCAAAGTCGCTTCCACATTTTCAGGTATCTTTTCAGCCATACCCCTCTCTCGGTACCAATTTACTGTATTAGTCAGTTTTCATACTGCTGATAAAGACATACCCAAGACTGATCAATTTACAAAATAAAGAGGTTTAATTGGACTTACAGTCCCACGTGGCTGGGGGAGCCTCACAATCATGGTGGAAGGCAAGGAGAGGCAAGTCCCGTCTCATGTGGATGGCAGCAGGCAAAGAGAGCTTGTGCAGGAAAATTCCCATTTTTAAAACCATCAGATCTAGTGAGACTCATTCACTATCACAAGAGCAGTGCAGGAAAGACCCACCCCCAAAATTCAGTCATCTCCCACCGGGGTCCCTCCCACAACATGTGGGAATTATGGGAGCTACCTACAAGATACAGGTGTAGGCAAGCCTCTAGGGATAGTTCAATCATGCCAAGCTCAATACCTGTAGTAGCCAAGATGCCACCACCCCTAGGCCCAAAGAGACAAGGAAAGGGAGGTTATAATTTGAAAAGGAATAATTTTGTAAATTTAGCTATCTTGAGAGGAATAGCCTTTTGTCAAGAGATACAACCAGGTGATCTTGTAAGAAGAAATCCAGGGGAATAATTACCCTGACCTCAGCTTTATCCCTTTCTCCAAGGTCTTGTTGGGGATCCTTCACTTGGATTACTCACTGCAATACCCTCCTAATTGGTGTCTATGCTTCTTCCACCGTTGTATTCCCAACACAGCAGCCAAACTGATCGTGTTAAAATAGAAGGCAGATGAGGTCACTCATTATTTCAGTATTCTTCAATAGTTTCCATCTCACTCAGAGTAAAAGTCAAAGTCCTTATGACAACCCACAAGACCCTTCATGATCTGAATCTCCTTTCATTATCATTCCAACCTTACCTTAATATCTATGCCTCCCATATTCGGTTCCTGCCACACCTATGTCAAGTCTGCGCTTGATATTTCATCCATTGGAATACATTTCCTACAAATCTCTGCTTGGCTCCTTAGACACTGTCCTCCCTGGCCACAGGGAAGATTGCAACAGTCCCCACCATAGCCTGCCTACCCCCATTCCCTACTTTCTTTTCTTTCTTTTTTTCTTTTTCTTTCTTTCTTTTTTTTCTTTTGAGATGGAATTTCACTCTGTTGCCCAGGCTGGAGTGCGGTGGCACAATCTCACCTCATTGCAACCTCCGCCTCCTGGGTTCAAGCGATTCTCCTGCCTCAGCCTT